>NC_000022.11:33558048-33709564 GCF_000001405.40 Homo sapiens
CTTTGAGAATTTCATCTTTTAAAATTTATGTTTTTCTTCCCCGGGGCAAAACAGTCTCTCAAGTTTAGGAACTGTCAGGAGTGAATGTGAGATGCGTGGAAATCTGTCCATGTTGAGCCCTAGAAGGGGGCACACTGGGCCAGCCAAGAAGGGAAGCCTTTAATCAGGAAAATCTGACTGGCATAAGGTCATGGGATTGTCTTGAAAGGTCTTCTTTGATTCCTTTCCTATGGGCTAACAGGGCGGGGGACACTGAGCTTCATTTGGAGATAAGGGAAGGCAGGAAAGGAGATTTAAAGTCAAATAAAAAGGGGCCAATGGGACAACACCAAACTTAACCACAGGAGAGAGGAGGAAGGAAAGGGGAAAGAAACACGCAAGGTCCAAGTGTCCGTCAGGTACCAGGATCACTGAATCACCTCCTCAAATTTCACACAACCACTGTGAGCAGATATCAGTATCTTCTTTCTACAGGTGCAGAAGCGAGGTCAAGAGTGGTTCAATGACCTCCCTTAGATCACCCTGCTGATAAAGTAGACCAGCAGGGACTTGAAGCTTGGTCTCTTTTTTGCTAAGCTCTTCTGACTCCACCAATTCCATCAGAGGAGACAGGCAGGGCGGCAAGGTAACAAAGAAAGACAAGACCTGAAGAAACTTCAAAGAGCATTAAAAACTCCTTCGAGGCAACTGATTATAAGCATAAAATTTCTACAAATGTCTTTTCAAAAGTAATACTTCAATGTTCTTCATGTTCAGCTTTTCTACATTATTGTACAGCCCCAATGGCTCTGTGGACAGAACTGTGAGGAAATGGAGCAGACACACATTAACGATGTCTGCCATCATCCCATTCACTCTGGCAGGAGTCCTTAGAGAAAATGGAATGTGGAAAAATAATGCACATTATCTTGTACAATTCTCACAAAGACCCCGTTAGCATTATTCCTTCTCTGAGCCTAAATCAACTAAGATAACCTGCTGTCTTATTCAGTTTGAGCTGCTATAACAAAATATCTGACACCGGGTAATTTATAAGCAACAGAAATTTATTGCTTGCAGTTCTAGAGGCTGGGCAGTCCAAGATCAAGGCTCCGGCAGATCAGATGCATGGTGAGAACTCTCTGCTTCATTGATGGTACACCTTTTTTTTGAGACGCAGTCTTGCTCTTGTTGCCCAGGCTGGAGTGCAATGGTGTGATCTTGGCATACTGCAACCTCTGCCTCCCGGTTTCAAGTGATTCTATTGCCTCAGCCTCCTGAGTAGCTGGGATTACAGGCACACACCACCACGCCCAGCTAGTTTTTGTATTTTTAGTAGAGACGGGGTTTCGCCATGTTGGCCAGGCTGGTCTCAAACTCCTGACCTCAGGTGATCCACCCCCCTCGGCCTCCCAAAGTGCTGGGATTACAAACGTGAGCCACCACACCCTGCTGATGGTATCCCTTTAACTGTGTCCTCACATATAAGGGATGAACAAGGTCTGTCAAGCCTCTTTCATAAAGGTACTAACCCCATTCATACAGCTGTCATGAGGTAATCACCTCCTAAAGGCTCTACTCTTAACGCCATTGCACTGGGGGTTAGGTTTCAACATAGGAACTTTGCGAGGACACAAACCTTCAGGCCACAGCATCTGCCCACGCTGACAGAGTCATCAGGGTGATCCTGCCTTATTCTCTGGACATGCTGAGTCTCTGGGTAGAGCTCTTGGACCCCAACTACAGCTACTTAAAGATGATGTTCTCGGAGGTCACATGCTGGGCCAGAATTCTGGAGACTGAGATTTTATTTCTCGAATCCTGTGAAAACTACACTTTTCTATGCTAATTTTGCTTCCCTGCCTTTGTTCTCTGAATGCCTAGATCGCCTTGGGCCCGCCCTCTACAACCTGGTGTATATGGTCACTTTGAGTTCTTTCACGAATCTAACTTCGGTCTCTCCAAAGACACTCTTAACTCCACCCACATGACAATGATTTCTCTTACTCCTCTTCAAGGGAAAGGAGGGTGCAGAGTAAAGAGGACTGGATTCAAAGTTAGACTGTTTGGGTTCAAATCTCGGTTTCATGACTTAAGAAATGTGAGACTCCAGGTAAACTATGCCTCCCTAAGCATCAGCTCCCAAATCTCTAAAATAGGAACATCAACAGTAATCACTTCATGGGAGGGTTGTGAGGATTAAATGAGTTTATCCATAAAGTCCTTAACAGAGTGGCTGGCACAGACTAAGTGCTTAAACATGTTAGTTGTAAGGAACAACACAGAGTCTATTAGGCCCTGAATGATACCCAGTGGCATGGCACATCTGCGGTGCCGTGAGGGTGAGGAAGGCAGTGCCCATGTACGCTGGATAGTTTGACCATACCTGCTGTAGGGTGAGAATTTTACTCTGTGGCACTAAGATCCTCTTAGAGGGGAGGCATCTGTGCTTATGGATCAAATCACTATCTTGAATATTCAGCACGGCCTTCTTCCAAAAGCTTCAGATTATGGGTGTGTATTTATTATTTATGCCTTCACAACAGCCTCCCCAAATGACAACAATCACATATTATTTCCAGTGTTTTGTGCAGTAAAAACTAAGGCATGCAGGGGTCCAAGGTGACACGTACTCAGCAGTCACACCCGTTCTAAGTGCAGTACAGCCTCCTGGGTCAGTGGACAGAGCACAGACTCCAAAGCCGTATGGATTGGGGTTCAGTTTCACTATGTAATAGCTCTCTGAGCATGAAAAGTAATTTAATCTCTCTTGAGCCCAGTTTATTTAACTTTTTTTTTTTTTTTGAGACAGAGTCTTGCTCTGTCACCCAGGCTGGAGTGCAGTGGCGCCATCTCGGCTTACTGCAAGCTCTGCCTCCCAGGTTCACGCCATTCTCCTGCCTCAGCCTCCCGAGTAGCTGGGACTACAGGCGTCCGCCACCACGCCCAGCTAATTTTTTGTATTTTTAGTAGAAATGGGGTTTCACCGTGTTAGCCAGGATGGTTTCGATCTCCTGACCTCGTGATCTGCCGGGCTCGGCCTCCCAAAGTGCTGGGATTACAGGCGTGAGCCATCAGTTTATTTAACTTTCAAGTGTGCAAAGCTTCTAGCTCAGTGCCTAGAACCTAAGACGTGCTTAAGAAATGGTAGTTAGCTTTCCCTCTGTTTTACAAACACTCATTTAGCCACCTGCCTCCTCACCAGCTCCACCATTGTAATGGTGTGTTGAATTTGCGCCTTCCATTGAAGAACCAGGGGCTGCCCCAGGCTGGTTTTCTCTGGTACGCCAGGGAGAGGACAAGGTCAGGCTCCCAGTGGCAGAGTAGTTGGTAGTCAGACAGGTGTAAACTGAACACAGGTCAGACAAGAGCTGCAAGGACATCTGCCTATGAAAATAAGTTTCCCATGTGAGGGACCCCTGCCAGGTATACCAGAAGTATCTCGTGAGAAGCATACCATACCCATGTCCAGCTCCCCTGAATGTTCTGTTAGGACAGGGCTGCTAGCCACTCTGGTACTAGCACCCCGGTGTAGCTACGGGCTCACCAAACAGTCTTATTCTTGCAACAGTCCCAACAGTAAGCTATTTGGCACCTAGAAGGAGCTCAGTAAATATTGACCGAATGGGTGGCTCCTGACCCTGGCCAATAATGGTATGTCTGATTCTTTCTGCTAAGAATTGGTGGTTCTGAAAATCTTCCAGCTGTTGGTGCAGGCTGGGTAAAGGTGCAAACCGCTGACATAGGAGGGAGGTATCTGCTACTTAGCTGAAGTCGAGCTCAGGGAAGATGGGGACATCTCTAAGAGGCTTCTTCTGGTAGAGGCTGAGGATGGGTCTAACTCCTGAAAAAGGCTTCTTTGTAATTCTCCCGGTAATGAATTTAGGAACAAGGGGCTTTCACAGCGCCACAAAGGAATCAAGCGCAATCTGACCAAGAGCCACTGCAGCCCCAGACAACCAGCTGTTCTCAAAAAGTGAAAAATTAGCCAGGCCACATTGTATCAACATCACTCCAACCGTTTACAGTGAAGGATGTCAACGACAATTGCCTTTATGAAGGACACTCTCTCTTGGATCAGAACATTCTACATTTATGCGCCTGACTTAACAGGCTTTCTTCCTATTCCATGACCTGGCTTCTAATAGTTTGGTTTAGAAAAACAATCACACACATACAAAAGTGATACAAAATAGGGACATATGGAGAAGAGATGAGCTTTACTTATTTTCTTTTCACCTCTGTATTTTTCCAGAAAAATTAGGGTGGGCATGGGAAAACTTCTGATGTTTTGTACTCCTTTGCTGGTGATAGATAAAAACGCAATGCACTCTGCCTTGTTTCTGAGTTCCTTGAAGGCAGGTGCTGTGTTCTCAACAGCTTTAGGGAACAACAGCATCTAATCTATTCCTCTTCACAGTGGGGGCCTAACAAATGCTAGAAATAAACCAACAAAAGAATGAACAAATAAAATGCAGCCCATTAACTCAGCTCCTTGCATTCAAATTTACCTTGTCCCTGTCCTGACCTTGGCCCATATACCCTACTCAACCCCAGGAGCTGCCTTGAATCTGAGAGTCCTCCAAATCAAGTCCTTGGGCCAGCTATGGGAGCAGCAAGAGCTCTGGTGCCTTCCCTTCCACGGATGATATCAGCGTATTTAAAATAACCATGACAATTCACGTTGTTATTGGCTACAGAGCGCCACTAGCACTATAGCCATTGCAAGCTGCAAGAGAATAAACGTGATTTCCTAGCTACAGCTCTACAATCTCTGATGACCTGTTCTGGTGACTATGGTGGTTATACTTATCCAACGGAGACTTACAGCTCTAAATATATGCTGTGGGTTGAGTTTCTTTGGAAAAAGACCCCGAGATGGATGTCAGCATACAAGAGGTTTATTAGAGAGAGCTCTTGAGAACAGCACCTATGAAAGGGAAGGGGAGAAAGCAGGACTAGGCAGAGGGGAAAATCAGCCTGTGAGGCAGTATCCGAGTGTGGCAGATGATCCTGCAGGACCTCATGTTCATCAGCCATTCCGTGATGTGGGGTGTCCCACGAAGGGGTGTGGCCACAGGCATGGCCACTCACTTCAACAGAGGCAACTGCAAAAAGGGCTGATGCCTTTTCTGAGAGCCCCCGCTGCAGGGACTGCTCCCACCAGCTGGCGTAATAAGGCCTTTATTCCCAAAGGAAAATGTGGGAGTCTAGTACATACGACCACCATTCTCATCTGATGAGACAGAGCACAATTAGGAGCTCCTCCGTGACACCTTCCCAGCTACCTTCTCTAACCCCCTCTAGGAGAGGTGACAACTCTCACTGTCCCCTCATTACTCATCTCCTCATTTGCAGAGCCCGTCACACTGCTTCACACCCAGTAGGGATTCGATAAACGCCAGTTGAAGAAATGCATCACTGAACACTCAACATCAGCATAAGAAAATGAATAAAACACCATGTAATTATAGAAAAACTGCCCCTCGTGAGTTCACTGTGATCAGGAAGAGAAAAACAAACAGACACGATAGGGGAACTTGAAAAGAGCAGCGGATGGAAGCCAAGACACGGGCACTCTGATCTCAACTCTGGGAAAAGCCTGCATCCCTCTAAGCTTCCGTTTCTTTCTTTATGAAACAAAAGGACACGTCCACACGTTCTATGAAGATTAGAGAGCTGTGCCATACTCAATTTCAACAGCTGTCCTAAATGATGTCATTGTTAGTGTCATTATTGACACGAATAAGAAAAGTAAATTTTGATCCTGATAAGGGAAAGAGTCCCGGGGATCAAAATGTCATTCCCATGATTTGGTGAAGACTTTCCTCAATTAGCCCAGAGCTCAGAAGCCCTGAGAAGGAAGCAGGGAGTGACCAGGGCAAGCAAGGAAATTTACTCTCTGTTCATGAATAGAAACAGAAACCAACAGGAATATCCTGTGATTTATGAAAATGCTGGGATTTAAAATCATTAAGTAGTATTTTGCTTTCATAGGATATGGAGCTAAGAGGAATGGCAGAAGGGATTTTAAACACAGAAGGGGCTAGCGTGCAATTAAAAAAATATATAAAACTAAAAATTTCACTGTCGAATTTCTTTCTCATTGTACTCATCCAGTATAGAAGAATTTTTAAAATAATATAATTTTTAAAAAGACATCTGGGAGAGGGGTATTAAAATAACAGCCTAAGATTTGTGCTAACCTGCCACTTCTCTCACATATCCATGCCACAGTTAGTACACCTACTGAGCTCACAATTTCCCCCTAGGTACTCTCATATACCTTGAGGCCGTGACGAGAGTTACAATAATAGCTATAAAGAAACCCACCAGACTAGAAAGAACGTCTTGTAAAGAAAGCCAAATACATACATCTCCTTAAAATGATAAACCACAACGTTAATGAAAGCAAAAGCCATATGAACATTTTCAAAAACTCTAGAATCAATACTCATCTCTACTACCTCACAGGCTTTCTTGGCAATTAGACTATCCTTCGATAAAAAGAAAACCAATGAACACACGTCCCGACCAGTATGTGAACACTCCGCTATCTGCATACAAAATACACACATTTGATATTTATCTGTTAAAAACATCTTCATTTACTAAAGACATGTAAACAAGTTTCTGTTTTACTCTATTATTTTTCAAATCCAAGCAGAGTTGATATTGAACCATATTTGTAATTCCTCACCCACTGCATTAGCACGACCTCATTCGAGGAGACCTCACCTTTTTAAAAAAGTCAACCCCTATTCTTGGCATGCTGATACCTACAAGGATATCGGGGAAAAAACGAATGGGCTACCATTACCTTTGAACTTGTGGAACACAGCCCACAGCTCTGCAATGTCAGTGGCAAAGGTGATATCCGTGTCAAGGACGATGACTCTCTCCAGGTTGGCAGGAAGAGTCTTGGTCAGGACAAGCTTCATCAGACCATAAATCCCAGAGTAATGTTTATTGGGGATCCAGGAAACTTCAGACTAGACAGAACAAGGCAGAGAGAGAGTTGGAGAAAGGGAAAAAAAATTGCTATATTAATTCTTTGCTTAAACATTATAAATAGTGCCTAGCACACAAAAAGTATCCAATAAAAATTTGTTGAATAAATGAATGAGTTTTCTTTTAAAGATTTATATAATTTGCATTTTGACATGTGAAGTTTTCTGGAGGAAAATGTATCTGAATTAAGGGAGAGGAAAAGTAATAGTTATGAAATAATTATTACTGCAAATCCTATGTTGAGATTTTTAAATAAAACTTTTGTTATTATAGAAATTAAATAGATCCACTAGAGAAAAAAAGGATATGCAAAAACATAAAGGTCCAAAAATTGAATCCCACTACAAATACTTTTGCAACCAGTATCAAATTGTTCCTATGTACGTATATTTCTTTAAATCATATTCCATTTACGTGTCATTAAAGATTAGTGGGCAGTAGTATTGTTAAAGCTTATGCTTATTCTTTTAAAACTGTAATTGAATAGATTACTACTGCTGCCTTCTCTTTATTCTCAGATAAATAAGAGGACCTAGTCATCACGCGACACTCTTCACCTGACAGCAATAGAGGACACACACATAGGACAGAAGGAGGACCTAGTCATCACGTGACACTCTTCACCTCCTAGTCAAGGAGGACCTAGTCATCACGCGACACTCTTCACCTGACAGCAATAGAGGACACACACATAGGACAGAAATGAACCACCCATGGAGCACTGACATTATGATCCTCACATAACATAATGGAACAATCAATGGCTTGCAGGTGGGCAGAGTCATCAGCGAGGTACACACACGGGTGCCATTTTGTGTCCAAAGGCAAGGATAAAAATAAAAGCACCAGTGTGATGAAAGCTCTCATCTATGCACAGTCATTTATGAAGATCACTGTGGGCAGAGGCCCCAACCTAGCTGCCATGGGGAGTTTCCATGGGAGCCAAAGCACACTTATTTTCAAGAGGGTAACACTTTTAATAGAACCCTTTAAAACAGGGAACATGGCCACCTTCTCAGGATTCCAAAAAATATTGATCTCCTTTGACCTTACAAATACCATGTTGAGGAGATGTTCTTAAAAAAATTCAAATTTAAAAATTTTGTTTTAGACACCAAAGTTTTATTCCCAAAGATGTTCATCACCATGTTACCAAAGAACAGCCATCAAAATGCCCCAAAATGGAACAATTAATTCAAACATGATACTCTTGTTTTTCTGATAGCATACTATGTAATTGTTTAAAACAATGTGGATCAAGATATAATTTCTAAAAACCTGCATATGATGTTAAAGGGGAAAAAAGCAAGCTTTAAAACTGCTTTTACTTAAAAACAACTACGTGTAATCAAACCAAATGAAACACATTCACCCAAATCTATGCAAAGGAAGAAAAAAATAGCAGCAAGACATCAAACTGTGTGCGGAGCTGGCTCCTTCCGGGGGGTTCTTGGTCTCGCTGACTTCAAGAGTGAAGCTGTGGACCTTTGTGGTGAGTATCACAGCTCTTAAAGGTGGCGCAGACCCAAAGAGTGAGCAGCAGCAAGATTTACTGTGAAGAGCGAAAGAACAAAGCTTCCACAGCTTGGAAGGGAAGCCGAGAGGGATGCCGCTGCTGGCTGGGGTGGCCAGCTTTTATTCCCTTATTTCTCCCTGCCCACATCCTGCTGATTGGTCCATTTTACAGAGCACTGATTGGTCATTTTACAGAGTGCTGATTGGTCCATTTTATAAAGTGCTGATTGGTGTGTGTTTACAATCCTTTAGCTAGACACAGAGCACTGATGGTACATTTTTACAGAGTGCTAACTGATGCATTTACAATCCTTTCGCTAGACATAAAAGTTCTCCAAGTCCCCATTTGACCCAGGAAGTCCAGCTGGCTTCACCTCTCATCAATTTCAAAAAAAGCATCCCCAACTCTGTGTATGAGTCCCTGTCACCCTACACCCAGGCATCATGGAGGTGGGGAAAAAGGACAGAAGTTCAAATCTGGGCTCTAGCCCCACACAAAGCATTTGATCTCTCTAAGCCTTGGTTTCTTTACCTGTAAAATGGAGTGTGTTTCAGAGATGGAATGGGTCTCATGAGTCAGCATGGGGAACCTGTCTCATAGCTGCCCTAAATTGGCCTCCTGTGTGCCACCATCACTAGACTATGATGTTAGAAAAAAATGTGGTTACTTAGTTTTTTTTTAAGAGTAGTTGCTCATTTTTAAAAGTTGGTAAAATGGAGACGATGCCTACTTCACACAGTGGTATAAAAATTAAATTATATTAAAGGACTCAAGGGCGTGGTACACAAAATATACTCAGTAATAAGCTCCCGCCCTTCTTCCTGATCCCTCTATCTTATTCCATGTATTTAGCTATCAGTGCCTCTTTTGGTGCTTCCAGATGAAGGTAAGGGTCTGTGGGATGTATGCAGGAGAGCAAAACACCCTGGGTGGTAGATTCAGGCATGCCTGGATTTAGATTCTAGTATCATCACTTAATCGCCATGTCACCTTGGACAGGTTTGCTCAGCTTTTCTGAGTTTCTGCTATTTATAAAGGTCATGATTTCTTTTTTAAAAAATTTTTAATTTTAGATTCTGGGGGTACACACGCATTTTTGTTACATGGGTACACTGTGTAATGGTGGAGACTGGACTTCCAGTATACCTGTCACCTGAATGTTGAACACTGTATCCAGCAGGCAATTTCTCACCCCTCACACAGCTCTCACCCTCCCCTCTTTTGGAGACCCCAGTGTCTATTATTTCCAGCTTTGTATCCAGGTATGCCCGTTGTTTAGCTTCCATCTGTAAGTGAGAACATGTGATATTTGATTTTCTGCTTCTGAGTTAGTTCACTTAGGATAATGGCCTCCAGCTCCATCCATGTTGCTACACTTACTTCATCCTATCAGGCAGTGTGTGGGTGGAAACAGCACACTCTCCTGGGGAATCTAAGGAAGATTTAATAAAAGGACTATTTAATCTAAGTATATGCAGAATTAGGGGCAGTAACAAGAACCGTGCAGTTACTTGAGGAGGGGAAGAGTACTTGGGGCCATTACCACCCCAAGGCCAAAAGGGCCCAGGCCAGCAGATGCTGGAATCCAGAGAGAATTGCTGTTTGAGTAAGGCCACCTGGCTGAGGCAGTGACCTTCAGCAGAGGGACACAGCCTACCTGTGGCAACGCATAAGCCAGAACAGGAAAAAACATCTCAACCTCACTTCCCTCCTGCCCACCAGTCTCCCGGGAGGGCAGCCCTCCAGTCAACCCTAACGGAAACCAGAGCGAAAGCGAGACTAGAGATGCTTTATGCATCAGCCTCATGGAGCATAAAGTGAGGGTTACGGCAAGAGAGGACCTAGAAGGAAAAACCTCACACAACCGAGTCATACAGTTAACACAAGGGCAAATTAAATGAACAACAACAAAATCAAAGCACAATGCCCTGGCTGGGCGCAGTGGCTCACGCCTGTAATCCCAGAACTTTAGGAGGCTGAGGTGGGCGGATCCCCTGAGGTTGGGAGTTCGAGACCAGCCTGAACAACAGGGAGAAATGCCATCTCTACTAAAAATACAAAATTAGCCGGGTGTGGTGGTGCATGTCTGTAATCCCAGCTACTCGGGAGGCTGAGGCAGGAGAATCACTTGAACCTAGGAAGCGGAAGTTGCGGTGAGCAGAGATCGCACCATTGCACTCCAGCCTGGGCAACAAAAGCGAAACTCAGTCTCAAAAAAAAAAAAAAAAAAATAAGCACAATGCCTTGTATATAATAGGTACAAAACACATATCTGGAACAGATGGATGGATGGATGGATGAATGCATGGATGGATGGATGGATGGATGGATGATGGATGGCAGGCAGGCATAGGAAGGCGGGCGATTTGTCTACAATCCCACAGCCAGCAAGATGCAAAGCTCTAAGAGTCAGAATTTGCCAGGAGAAGGTTTGTGTTCTTTCCCCAAACTACATTATCCTTCCTTTAGAGTGAGCCATCACCGTTAAGATCCGAGGACTCAGTGAGGAATTCCCTCCCATGTGCTTTATAAACATCTTCCTCATGAAAGCCCTGGCCTTTGGAGCTCAGCTCAGCTTCCTCTCTCCTCTAGCAATCTGCCTGAACTGAGGCTTGGCAATCATTAGTCCATGCTGCAGAGCTGTGCTATTTAATCAGACCTTTGATTAACTTATTCATCTATTTTGGTTACCATCAAAGCAGGAGAGCTGGGTGAAGACTGAACACGAGAGTGATGGGTTAAGCTGTCTAATTAGATTGCCCTGACTCTCCGTTTTATTTTTAACACACATGTGAGGCACTCAGTTACACTGCAAAACAGGAAGACTACAGGAATAAATTAATCTCAACATGAGCCCAGTCCTGAATGTCACTCCAAGTCCCCAACTTAATACATAATCAATTAAGTCCAAGTGTTCAATTAGTTGTAAAGGAGGCAATGGGATGAGTTTGTATTCAGAAAGAAAGCCCCAGGAAAAGGTGGAAAATTAAGAAATTTGGTGGTGGGGAAAGAACAAGTGGTAAGAAGCAGGTACATTTATTACAAATAGCTCACCCTCTTAGAGACGGCATGATATCTAGCACTCTTCCCCCACCTCCATCCACATTCTCCCCCTCTTTCAAGTCTCAACTTAGAAATCACTGCCTTCCAGCCACCCCCACCCCCACAGCCCCAGGCTGGATTAGGGGCTCCCAAAGCAAGAAGCAAGCTGTTTCCCTTCCTCCAGCACAGCATGTTATCCTGCTGGGTTCAATTTTCCATGCCCCTCTCCTGCACTTGACTGAAACTCCTTGAGGCAGGGACGATGTCTTTTTGACTGTGGTAACAACACAGTAATTATTCAAAAACTGTTTGATGAATGTGCATGACTACGGAGTCAGCCAGGCCTGAGTTCATTTTTCTCTGATATTTTCCTCACCTAGGAGCAGAAGTGTTCATGATTGCTAAAATCCAGGGTCAGGACAGAACAACAGAAGAGGCATAGTTTGTTGAGCCCTGAAGCCTGGGCTATAGAACTGGTTCTACTTTTAATGAGCTGTGTGACCTCAGGTAACTCACTTAACCTCCTTGAGTCTTAGTTTTCTCATCTGGAAAATGGGGGCCTACAATGTTATAGTATTCACAGGAGAAGGCACAGCATCCAGCCTCATGCGGGGCAAGCAACAGGTCTCCTCTAAGCCCACTTCTCCTCTCAGTGAATGCCTGTCAGCAATACCGAAGTTCAGATGACTCAGAATTTGGGGCATGATAAAAGCAGCAAATTCTGGTACCTTTGAAAGTAAAGGGGAAGTCAGGAATGCAGATGGTTTTGTCAGGGGAAATAAGTCACTTGTCACCTTGTCCTATGTTTCTGTAAAAAATGAGGCAGGCGGATCATGAGGTCAAGATATCGAGACCACCCTGGCCAACATGGTGAAACCCTGTCTCTACTAAAAATACAAAAATTAGTTGGGCATGGTGACGTGCTCCTGCAGTCCCAGCTACTCGGGAGGCTGAGGCAGGAGAATCGCTTGAACCCAGGAGGGAGAGGTTGCAGTGAGCCAAGGTAGCACCACTGCACTCCAGCCTGGCAATGGAGCGAGACTCCATTTCAAAAAAAAAAAAAAAAAAAAAAAATCACAAGCTGAAATCTGGAAAATGCAAAGTCCCTCCCTCTGGTAGATCTCCAAAACTGGACAGCACACTTTGGGTTTGAGGAGGAGGAAAAGTGCGTGGGAGTGATTAGCCATGCAACCTTTTGGGGCAGTCTCTCCATGCAATCCACACTGGTATTAATCTCATTTCCATGCCGCAACACACTTCAGTCCAACCAGGAACTTCTTACATCATGGGGTCAATGGAGAGAAGAGCACCCTCGAAGGCAGGCTGAGGAAACCTGGAGGGCACCAGGCAAATTTTCCCGAGAGCACCCCATAGAGAAGTCAACACCTGGCAGAGTAATATCCCACCATGTTGTTCATCACTATCAACACGCCAAAGGGTTCGTGTAATTAAAATGATAATAAAAATGAGAGTTAGTTTATTTTAATGGGCAGATCATTATCCTTGCAATGGCTGTTAATAATTCTAAGCAGCATGGTCTAAACTTCAATCAGCAAAAATGCAGTCATGCCCAAGATTATCACCTAATTCACTTATGTAAAGGGAGCACAGGCAACCCCAGGTTTTAAGGGTTTTATGTAAACTGGGGGGTTGGGGATGCTCTCAAAGGGAAATCTGCCTTCTTGAAGAAGCTGCCAATTACCAGGCAGACCCAAAGGGGAGCATCTATGAGGCGGTGTAAGTGATTCTAGGGTATATCTGATGCCAGGTGGTCCACAGAGAAGTTGACCAGATTAGCAGTATGAGCATGGAGGCAGAGAGCTGGACAGTGGACACACCTCACCTCTACAGGTGACTGCCCAAAACACAGGGGATGGAGGAAAGCCATGTCTCAATGGTGATGACACATTTCTGACCTTTGATAAATAAGGGAAAAACAGGAAAAGAGACTGGTTTTGTCAGGAAATGATGCTCACTCCTTCTCCAAGATGTGGATTTCCAGGAGTCATTGAGATACCCCAGTAAAGATAATAATAGAAAATATGCCTAGCACGTGCTGGGTGTCAGGCATTGTGGCAAGACCTTTATATGGGCTGACCTATTGAAACTCCTCCTACCAAGATTAAGGGTTGTCTATTATTTAGTACCCAAAGTTTGGTGGTCCTTTTCCTTACCTCAACTTTCAGTCCCCCAGTCCTAGATACTCTACTCTGAACTGATGTGTTTCTCTCTTTCCCTCCCTTCCCACTGGACCTGGCTTATTCAATGTGCTCTTCACTCTTCTGATTTACTGCAGGGTCAGGACTGAGCCTCTGCCTCCCTCCAGACACATTTTCATTCTCCAAGCAGTTTTTCAAACAATTAGGTACAATGTCTTTAGAGCTGGGCATTCCTGGCTTCCAAATCTCTCCAGGCCTTAATTTTCTCACCTGTAAAAAGGGTAATAGTAGTATATCCTGCTTCCTTCCTAAGGCGTTACTATATATGTAATCTGTAAGCTCTCCTCTGCCATACTGGAAATATTTTTTGCTCAAAATAGATTGCTTACCCATATTAACATTTTGCTGTGGATTACAAATCACCTTGACATATTTTAAAAAATTAAAAAAAGAAGTCATCCCAGCTGCAGAATGTTTGAAAAGTCATTTGCCTTTCATGTTGTTTCTGAGTGGTTGTCTTGGCAACCAACCTATATGTTCAGAGTATAATTGTTAAGAAACAGAAGTGGGGCGGGGCTTGAGATGCTGGGACAGAGACACTGGCAGATGCCTTGGAAGAAGATCGTGAAATGAGCACGAGCTTTGGAGTCTGGCTGGCCCAATTCTGAATCCTGACTCTACCACAACCAGCCTGGCAAAGTCACCTCTCTAAGTCTCAAGCTCCCCACCCATAAAATAGAGAAAACAATACACATTGCATGAGGTTTGAAAAAGCATTAAATGAGGTAGGAGAGTCAAAGTGCCTAGCACAATGCTTGCCACATCAGGGCTCGATATGAGTGTTTAAAATGACACATGCCATTAATCCCAGCACTTTGGGAGGCCAAGGTGGGCGGATCACTTGAGGTCAGGAGTTCAAGACCAGCCAACATGGTACAACCCCATCTCTACTAAAAATGCAAAAATTAGCCAGGCATGGTGGCGCATGCCTGTAATCCCAGCTACTTGGGAGACTGAGTCAGGAGAATCCCTTGAGCCCGGGAGGTGGAGGTTGCAGTGAGCCAAGATCGTGCCACTACACTCCAGCCTGGGCGACAGAGTGAGACTTTGTCTCAAAAAAAATTAAATACATAAAAATAAAATAAAATGGTTAACAACACATAGTCTGGAGACTGACTGACTGGGTTTGAATACTGGCTCCATCATTCACTATCTGAGTCATTCTGGGCAAGCAGTTAAACCTCTATGTACCTCAGTTTTCATCAGTAAATTGGGGCTACTTACAGCACATACTCCATGGGATTGTGAAAATTCTGGTGCTATATCTAAGCAATGGATATTGTTAACTGTTAATATTATGACTGATGATACTAAGAGCAAAAGACAATATTCACATCTATTAAAGGCACCTGCTGTTGCACGCCTGTAATCCCAGCACTTTGGTAGGCCGAGGCGGATGGACCACCTGAGGTCAGGAGTTCAAGACCAGCCTGGCCAACATGGTGAAAAACCATCTCCACTAAAAATACAAAAATTAGCCGGGCGTGGTGGTGTGCGCATGTAATCCCAGCTACTCGGGAGGCTGAGGCAGTAGAACCACTTGAACCCAGGAGGTGGGGGTTGCAGTGAGCCGAGATCGAGCCACTGCACTCCAGCCTGGGCAACAAAGCGAGACTCTGCTCAAAACAAAACAAAAAAAGTCATCTGCATTTGTGAGTATTCACCCTTGGCAGCACAGAGAAACTCCAGTTTAGCTCAGTTGAGATCATTTAATGAGACATTTATGGAACACCTTAATATGGGGCAGGTACTGAGGAGGGCGAGGGACCAGGGTCCATGATGAAGGAAACATGGCTGACGTTCTCAAGGAGTCCATGGTCTAGTGGATATTCAGTATCCATGACTGCACAAGTTACCTCAAAATGCAGCAGCTTAAAACAGCACCAGTTATTTATTAACTCAAATGGTTTCTGTGTGTCAGGAATCTCAGAGTATATTCGCTGGGTGGTTCTTAGGATTCCTCATGAGGTTGCAGTCATCTGAATACTTGCTCTGGGATGTAAGATCTAATTCTATGCTGGCTCCCACATACATGCCCGGCAGTTGATGCCAGCTATCAATAAGAAGGCTCACGTTTTTGCCACTCCAGAAGTCTGCTTGAGAGTCTTTACAACATGCTGGCTTCCCCCAAAGTGAGTGGTCCCAAAGACAGCAAGGTGGAGGCAAGGTTATCTTGAAAACTTGGCCTCAGAAGTAACATGGCATCATTCCTGCAACATCTTATTGGTTATATAGGTAAGTTTATGCAATGTGGGAAGGGACTAGACATGGGAGTGAATGAATGCTAGGAGGTGGGAATTACTGGGTGCCATCTTGGAAACTGGCTACCACATCTGTAATTATAGAATGTTATGAACTGGACTGTGATAAATTCCAAGTACAGCCATCCTTGGAGTCTGTGGGTTATTAGTTACATGACCCCTTTTGGAGATCAAAATCCAAAGATGCTCAAGTCTCTGATATAAAATGGTGCCCTATTGCATATAACCTATGCACATCCTCCTGTATACTTTAAATCATCTCTAGATTACTTATAACACCTAATAAAATGTAAAAATTATGTAAACAGTTGTTATACTGTATTGTTTTGGGAATGACAAGAAAAAACTCTGTACATGTTCAATATAGATGCAACCATCTATTTTTTTTTCAAGTGTTTTCAGCCCTTGGTTGTTTGAGATACGTATAGCAGTGGTCCAGTAGAAGGACAATTAAAGGGGAGTGATAAGAAAGGAGGGACAACAATCAGATAGAGATGTCTGGAGGAAATAAACCTTAAATTTGGTCTTGAAAAATGGGTTGAAAATTGAGATTCTCAAATATTGGGAGAAAAGCATGATAGGACAACGAAGGCACAGAGATATAAACAATTGTGTGTGTGTGTGTGTGTGTGTGTGTGTGTGTGTGTGTGTGTGTGTGTGTAAAATAACTATAGTCTGATACACTTAATGAAAAAGCTTAGAGTTGAAAATGATAGAGATGGATATGGAAAGGTAGGACAGGATCAAATGTTGGAGAAGACCAGGACCATATGCCATACAAAAGAGCACTGGATAATATCCCAGAGACAGTGGGAAAAACAAAAGGGGTTTCATGAGCTAAGAGATGTGATCTCATCTATATTTTTGGAATATACTCTAATGATTTATGGAGGAAAGATTAACAGAAGGCAGCTGAGAGGCATCAGAACCTTGGAGGAAGCCTGGTGAAAATCTAGATTCCCAGGATCCTATTGAGAGGTTACAATTCATTAGATTTGTGGTAGGGCCTAGAAATCCGTATTTTAAAACCAGCACCCCGGGTGATTCAAAAGCAAGTCTCCATAGATTACCCTCTAAGAAACACCAAGTTAGGAGACAGAAAATGCTATTTCTCAAGGTCTTCTTGGCTGAATCATTTACACTGGATCAACAACCAACTTATTGTTCAGAAACAAGTCATAAGATAGCCCCAAGCTTAAGTGCCCCACCTGAAACTAATACTTTGTTGGATTTATGGGGAGAGAAGACCTTTCTCAAATATTAATAAAAGGAAGTGTTGATGTAAGATCAGGAGTTCTTTAGCTATCTCTATACCTCATAGGCAGTTTATGACAGTGAGGCCAGGAAGGCTTCTTGGCTGTACTTCTTTTTAAATTTAGAAGTCCTGTTTAAATACAAGCAGCTCTAGGTCAGCTACAGCAAAATTCTTAGTAACCAGCATCAACAGGAGAACTGAATTACATATTTCATGCCTTCTTATATTAGCAACTTAGAAGGAAATGTTGAGAGAGCCTGGAAGCTGGTCTTTGCAGGTGACAGCAATCTCCCGTAAGCATCAATGAACATTTATTCAGACATACAACCCTAGCCCAAAATAAGATTAGCTGGCTTGCACCTAAAAATGCTCATTATTCAGAAGTCTACTAAGCAACCATCTTCTGCAAACATAAATAATTCCAGAATGATGACAAAGGAGAAGTGAACCAAGGGGAATGTGATCGTGGATCTACAGACACGTCCCTCCTCCTATCGGTGGCACAAAACCCCTTCCTCTCTCATCGCCCAGCAAGAAGCATCCTCTATTTAGCTTTGCGAAGCTTGAGGGGATTGGTCACTGGAGCATTTACAGACTGCCTGAACATCCTTCAGTACTTTATGTTATGAAATGGAGCATTTCAAAGCACTGGGAATTCTGATTTGTGAACTGGACTGTTACAGTGGCTTAATTTCCTGAAATATAGCTGCCTTCTTCACTAATAGATTTTTCAATGCACTGAGGAGAAAATTGCATTAGCTGCTGCGTAGCCTGATCTTAATAATTTTAGAAGCTGCAATTCTTATTACCGTGCACAGTATGTATTTATGTATGTAGACTTAGCACAGTGTCTGACACATAGAAGGCACTCAATGAATAGTTTTGAAAAAGTGAAACAATGCATTTACACAGAAAACACTTATTGAGAACCATTGCTTCTGATGGGGATATACTGATGCACCTGCTTCGTTCATTCATTCATTCAACACTTCAGCGACTTCTAAGTGTAAAGCTCTGTGCCAGATGATTGCTTTGAGGAAATAACAGTGCAGTTTGGGGAGACATAACAAATAATTTCAGAAAGGATGGTCACAGCTGTCAGGGTGGTGGTTTACCCTGACAGGAGGTGGGAGTGAGGGAGGTGGGGCATGGGATGGTGAAGATATCCAGGTGGCTTTGGTGCTATTGTTCTAGTTTTAAGTTAGATGACACGGTGCTTTATCAGGGTATGCCATAACCTGTCTATCTGTAGTCTTCCTATGTATGTGAATATGCTCATATATACAGATATCACCGCGAAAGCACATGGATAAACATGTGTGTGTATACATACCCTCTCTATCTGTGGAGGATTGGTTCCAGCACCCTCAAGGATACCAAAATCCTCAGGTGCACAAGTCCCCTGATGTAAATAAGTGTAGTATTTGCATATAACATAGGTATATCCTCCCATATACTTTAAATCATCCCTAGAGTGCTTATTAATACCTAATGCAATGTAAATACTATGTAAATGGCTGTTATACAGTATTGTTTAGAGCATACTGAAAAGAAAATAAATATCCATAAATGTTCAGTTCAGGTGTAACCCATCTATTCTTTTCCCCTGAATACTGTCAAGTCTTGGTGGGTTGAACCCAAGAATACAGAACCCACAGATATAGATAGGTGACTATGTATGCGTGGTGTATTTAGTTATATTTCATTCCTGTTCAAAGTGCTAAGAAGAGAGATAATCACTCTGCTATTAAACGCAAGTGGAAAAAAAGATTTTGTTTCTGTTACCATAAATTTACTCTACTGCATGCATTCTTAACAGACACAAAAGTTGGTTCTTGTGGGGATCAAAAAAAAATAAGATATTCCAATGGTTTGGTATTAAAATCTCATGTTAGAGGTTTAATCAGGGAAATAAAAAGTATAAAAAGGCACATAGGAGAGGGGAGTGATAATATTTAAAAAGAGGTTAAGAAACACCACCCTCCAGGATCTTACAACACTAAAATAGCCACAAAACAGAGAAGTATGCAAAAGCACACGCATACACATCTCAAAAACCTGCTCCCCGATCTTAGCCTCTGCTGAATCCAACAGTTCTTTCTTGCCTTTCTGAATTTAATCAGAAGGCAGCTGAATCAGAAAACACACTTCTCTGTTGTCAAGTTCATCTGGATATTTGGGGAGCAATTTCTCTCGCTCTCACAACCATACCTTCTTCCACTCTTACCTCCGCCTTCCCATGGAGCCATCTAAAAAGGGCAGCCACATAGGCTGCAATTAAAGAAGCCCCACACTGCTCTACATTAATGAGGCACTTTGCTTTTCATTTTCAGAGGGCTCTTTAGCACTTTGTAGGTGACACCCTTGCCTGTGACAATCTCTGTTACTAGCTGCGGAGATACACCTTGCAGGTGAGTTTAAACACACGGACAGCAACTTACAAGCAGGCAAAGACAGTTGAGGAGGATGATCCAGAGTTGTCCCTTTATTAATTTCTGATTGGTTTAAAAACTGTTTTCTTTCACCACACATAGAAGGCAAAAGTCTCTTGGTGTAGTAAAAGGAAAACCTTGTCAATGGCAGTCCAAATGTCTTCTGGCTGACAGCCAAAATGAATCTCTTCACTGGTCACCCTGAAAAGATGATGGCTTCACTCAGCTCTTGTAATACATCTAACAAACATTAACCAAAGGTCTTATTGCAATTTTGAATACTTTTAACCTTGACCTTCAAGCCCTGCTTCAGAAGATTTAGACCGTGGTAATATTGACATTCACCTCCCCCCGCCAACAACAGGCCTTTACTGTTTAATATGATGGTTGTCAAGGCAACCAGATTGTGAGGATGGCTGTCTAACCTTTCTAGATTTAGAATTTATCATACATGAGAATGCAGAAGGGAAAAATGTCACCCTTAAAAAGTAGTATAGAAGACGGTACAAGGTACAAGGTAATTCCATTGTGCCTTTACTTCCACTTGGGGATTTGGCTACTGATCAAAGGAATTCCTAATGCTCTAAATCCCCTTTAAAAAAATCACCTAATTCCGAAAGTGAGTCATTTATCTAAACACTCATTGTGTGTGCCAAATTCTGTACTAGATACTAAGGAAAGAGGAGTAAATGAAAAATGTTCCTCTTTCTTAGAAGATCACCATTAAATGGGAGAAAATATTATTATGTTTATAATAACAATCGCATTTGTTGAATGCTTACTATGTAACAGACAGTATACTAAAGCAATTTACAAGTATCTTTTAATTCACCCAATAACCTTTATTACTGTGTGTGATGTAGACATCAAGGAAATCACCCAATTATAATGAATTATAGGAGCTGGGATTAAAAATCAGATTTGCCTCTTTCCAAAAACCTTAATCGTTTTTGGAAATGGATTCAAATATGATACTCACATGATTATTACACAGTGAAATCTGTATATAAATTCTTACCAACATTCTTAGAACATAGCAAAATTAATTGTACTCAGAAATGGGAAGTAAAATCAGGAAAGACAAAGGTGACTACTAGATTGAGCTCATACTGTTAGCAGAAACAAACATTCCAATGCAGTTATAATAGAGTCATACACCTTCTCAGAACAAATGTTTCTCCAATCTCTAAAGGACTGCAAGTGGCCAGTAACGCTCTACTGAGAAAGCTGTTAACACCAAAATACAAAGCAGGAAGGGAAGCTTGGAAACATATGTCCAGACCCAGGAAGATTGTTACAATGGATTTTTAACTTCTGTACTTTAGAGTGTGTGATATGGTTTGGCTGTGTCCCCACCCAAATCTCATCTTGAATTCCCAGGTGTTGTGGGAGGGACCTGGTGGGAGGTAATTGAATCATGGGGGCAAGTCTTTCCCGTGCTGTTCTTGTGACAGTGAGTAAGTCTCATGAGATCTGATGGTTTTAAAAAGAGGAGTTCCCCTGCACAAGCTCTCTCTTTGCCTGCTGCCATCCATGTAAGATGGGACTTGCTCCTCCTTGCCTTCCACCATGATTGTGAGGCATCCCCAGCCACGCGGAATTTTAAGTCCAGTTAAATCTCTTTCTTTTGTAAATTGTCCAGTCTTGGGTATATCTTTATCAGCACCATGAAAACGGACTAATACAGTGTGCCAGGGAAAGTCTCAGCCTTCTAAAACTAACGGTTAGCATTTGTACATTACGGAGGGTCCTGAGCAGGAGCCAAGTGGAGCCTGGATGTCCTCCTTCAGGACACTGATAAAGACCTGCTGCAGCCCCAGCCCAGGGCTGGCCACACTTTGGAATTACATGGGCGCACTACTGGGCCTACCCCAGAAAAACTAAACTATGACATCTAGTGGTAGGGCCTGGCATTGCTGCTTGTTTGGGTTTGGAACACAAGCCATGCTAAAGTGTCATCCAGAGTGGCCCCTAGCATTGTTTTGGTGGTGTTGTTTTGTGTTACCAACAGTACCAAGTGATTCTTAGGTGCAATCAAGCCTGAGGTACACAACAATTGGGAAGTGAGCCAATCAATTAATTCTAACTGCGGAAGATCAAGACCCAACTTAATAGCACAGCTCTGTAACTTTATTTTCTGTTTGCACAGAATTGCTGAGTTCCTACATAGTATACATATTTTTTAATCCCCTGGGAATATTTAAGCGTCCTTGATCTGGAAGCAACATGGAATGATGGCACGAGCACTGTCTTCAATACAAGCTGGAGTGTGGCAATTCCCTTCTCTGAATTTCAGGTTTTGCATCTGTAAAGCAGACACAAGGCGGCCGGGCGCAGTGGCTCACGCCTGTAATTCCAACACTTTGGGAGGCCAAGGGGGGCAGATCACCTGAGCTCGGGAGTTTGAGACCACCCTGACCAACACGGAGAAATCCCATCTCTACTACAAATACAAAATTAGCCAGGCATGGTGGTGCATGCCTGTAATCCCAGTTACTTGGGAGGCTGAGGCAGGAGAATCGCTTGAACCCAGGTGGCGGAGGTTGCGGTGAGTCGAGATCGCACCACTGCACTCCAGCCTAGGCAACAAGAATGAAACTGTCACAAAAAAAGAAAAAAAAAAAAGCAGACACAAGGCCACCTATTGCTCTGTCAGCCTGAAAATGGGATGATGTACAGGAAAATACCCAGCAGAGGACCTTACAGAATCGAGCTGCTGGTTCATTCTGAATCAAGAAGGAAGAAATATTTCATTATGTGACAGGTGGAATAAAGGCCTGATCACAGTGAGTGAGCTCGAGACGCTAGTCCTTTACCACATGGCATCAGTTGTGATTTTCTCTCCTTTATAACGGCTGGTTTTGGAGGGTGGGACTTATGTATATATACAATGTAAGGGCAACACACACACTCTGGGACACAATGTACAATAAGTAATAGCAGCACATTAATAATAACAGGGGATGAGAAAGGGGAGTTTCAGCAGTGCTATTATGCCTCTGAATAAGATGTTGATCATTGCTTGCTATTTTCTCTTCAAACATGTTATTTAGCCAGTAGTGAGCAGATTTAAAACCCACTGGGGTTCTTGAATTCAGCCTGGCTGAGTGGTTAAATCCAATGAAAATATTCTAGTTAGATGAGTTTTTAGCCAAGGGAGTTGAGTATACAAAAGCATACATAACCGGTCAGTTTGTAAGACGTCCATCTTTCAAAAATGATAATAGGAATGATGATGATGATGACAAAAGTAATAAGAATGCATGTGCAGCATTTTCTCATTTTCAATGAAATTTTCCATCTATTATTTCATTGGATGCTTGAAATAAGTTTGTGAATTAAGCAAGTAAGGGATTCATACCTCTATTTTACACATAGGAAACTAAGACTTAGAAACATCATTGTCTCAAATTGCACTGCTAGTAAGTGGGAGAGTTAAAATTTGCCCCTTCTGACCTTCAGGAAAATCACTGTCATAATGTGGAGGGCCTTCTAACACCAGTACCTAATGCTGGAACTTTATCATGGGAAACAGATGGAATTAAGAGACTGTGAAGCATCACGTACTGTTCTCAGCAAGAAAATTCACATTTTGATACCTTTGTGCACCTTTTCCTAAAATCAGCTTGGTGAAATGGTACAACCAGGGATGAAAACTTGAAATGTTTCCAAGTTTCCTATCCAAAGTAACTTTGTTTAGAAATAAATAAAGTTATTTTGTTGACCTGGCTTGTTTTCCATGCTTCAGTTAGAAGACAGAGAGAATCTGACTGGGCACGGTGGCTCAAATCTGTAATCCCAGCACTTTGGGAGGCTGAGGTGGGCAGATCACGAGGTCAAGAGCTCAAGACCAGCCTGACCAACATGGTGAAACCCCATCTCTACTAAAAATACAAAAATTAGCCGGGGGTGGTGGCACGTGCCTGTAATCCCAGCTACTCAGGAAGCTGAGGCAGGAGAATTGCTTGAACCCAGGAGGCAGAGGTTGCAGTGAGCCGAGATTGTGCCATTGCACTCCAGTCTGGGTGACAGAGTGAAACTCCGTCTCAAAAAAAAAAAAAAAAAAAAGAATCTGACCCATCAGTGTCCCAAATGAGGAAAGAGAGTAATGAATGGACATCACCATGGGGTCACCAAGTGATAGATACATCTTAAAGCTTCACATGGCTGGGAATAAAATGACACAAATCCATTGGACTGGCCTCTGACTTTAGTACTTCCATTTTCTATCCCATCACCTTCACAGTCAGCACCTGCCTAGAGCGTGGGGTCACCCCAATTGTGTCAGTTTCTAATATGAAGGGCAATTTTGCCCCCAAAGGACCCCTGGCAATACTTGGAGACACTTTTGGTTGTCATGACTTGGGCACTGGGGTGCTACTGGATCCAGGGGGCAGAGGCAAGGAATGCCACTCAACATCCTCAGACAGGACAGCCCCCGCAACAAAAAACTATCTGGCCCAGAACATCATGAGTGCTAAGGTTGAGGCACCTTGCTCAGAAGTACCAGCTGAAACTCAGAAAAAAATGGATGTGGATGAAAAGTCTTTGTCCTGGTACAGGAGAGTACACATTTTGTCTAAGTTTTGACCTAATGGAAAACATTGCATTATCTGGAAGTAGGAAAGACCTTGAAAGAGGAAAAAAAAAAAGATGAGTTTGAAGTCCTCAGAATCCTTAAAGAAAGAAAAGTGACAACTCTTTAACCACTACATATAAGAGAATTGAATGAGACTTATACATGAAAGAATATAAAGTTTAGATAAGCAAGATTGTCCAGTGACTGATTCAGGGACATCTCTCTTGGCTGAAGGCAATGAACTAGCCATTGGCTGCCATTCTCTCAACAAGAGGGATTACGCCTTTCCACTGTACCTAGGCACCCTGGTCACCCAGCAGGTACGCCTCATCCAAAACCCAACTTCACACTGAACCAAGGGCTCCAAGCTCCAGGTGCTGGACAGCTGATGTTACTCAGCATTCCCCTGAATACTTCCACCAAAGTTCAGACTCTTGGCATCTGAGCCCAAATGTTAACTTCATTAGGTCAAGAGCATCCTCATGCTTGTCTTGTACAAAAAGAAGAGGAGAGTGAATTCCTTCTGCTAGATAGTAGCTCCAAGGTGTACCTGGCTGTGCTTTCAACCAGGAACACCTCTTTGCAGGATGCTTAAAGAATGGGCATTTGTGCCCCCTGCGGATACTGTACTATGTTATTATTCAGGGGAAACAAACCACATTAAGTATGAGCACATGTCTACCTTGGACAGTTCCAGTCACATATATTATACCCTGTCTAGATGACAAATAGGACTCTTGCTCTTCCTGCTAAAGCTCAATCCTTCCTCAGTTTTCTCCATCTTCCTACCACCATGCACCCACCAGCTTGTTCCAGAATTCTAGGAGCTAGACATGATCCATCTCCCCCACATCCCAGATCTACCTTTCTGTCACAGCCACCATGTCAAACCCTCCCTGTCAAGTCAGCTGTAAAAATGAATCTGCCTCTCAATGCAGTCACCTCCACAGGATGAAGGCAGTGCATGGAGGTAGTTTTTCACCAAAACACCTTCTTTTTGAGAACCATCACAGGGCAAAATATTAAGTCTGGAGAAAATAAATCAATTTTATCTCTTGATTTTCTACTCATCTACCAAGATTCCTGCCCTCAGGATCCATATTGTCACTAGGTCACTGGACTTGAAAACCTTAAGGTCAGGGTTTTGGACTTAGTAGCAATCAATGCCTCTCAAGGTATATAGCTGGCAACCTGTTGCAAGTTACCCGATAAATAAGAAAATTAGAACCTCGGAAAGAAATTTAACAACGCCTATCCCATTCAGCTCCATCTTCTGCCCCTGAGCCCACTGAATAGGTCAGGGACATTGATTTTAAAATGGAATCTGTACACTATAAAATGAAAGTTCAATTTTCCAAATATAAGGACAGTTGGGTCCCCCCCATCCAGTATGAAGTGTGCTTCCCTCGCCTTGTCCATCCCTTCAGTAATGCACTTCAGTACACACATATCTCCCCCATAAGAACACACTTTGTGATAGATAGTTACTATTTTTACCTTGGAAGCTCCCTTAGCACTTTCCAAGACACATATATAGGCATTCCATTTATTTGCTTTCTTTTAATCAAAATGTGGACATACTGACTATACTGATACTGAAACCTCAGAAATAAAAATTGGCCCAACTTTCCCCGCTGTGGGCATCCTGACCAGTCCTGGATGTTAGTTTGAGATCTGGTTTATTAGTTTCCTCAATTATCAAAAAGGTATGCCCTTCATAAGTGAAAAAGAGAAGGAAGTGTCAGGCAGAGAAAAGAAGTGCATTTCTTTCCTTTCTAATAGAAAAAGTTTAATAAGAGTATTAACTTTTATAGCTAAGCTGAGCAGATAAAAAGCAGGTAAAGGAGTTTTGCTTGGGAAAAAGTATTCTCTTCTTTGGGCAACGAAAGCCTGTCATTAACTCAAAGAGCAAGATAAAATGCTCTTACGCCTCCTCTTCACCTCCTCCTCAAAGCTTCTGTGTTCTCGACAATGATGTACCTAGCATGGGAACACCACACTTCCCCCCGACTCCTGGAAATCACAGTGGCCCCCAAGGCTCGGCTCAGGGTTCCCCTTTTTCTGTGAAGTCATCCCTGACTATCCAGCTGGTAGCTGATTGGTACTACACTCTTCCCTATTTCATTAGTTTTCACTAAATTCTTGGAGAAGACATGAGCTTTTCCTCATCTGTATTCTGGAACAGTGTGCATTCAGCAAATCCTTATCCACTGACTGATTTGTATCTAGGTACAGACCTGAGTTGTTTCCTCCTAATCAGATGAGAATTCAGCTACCTATTAAATAGAGTTAACATCAGGTTTTCCAAGCCAGCTGGTTTCCCTGTGCTACTGAAAAAAAAAAAATGAAAACTCAGCTGGCAGTCCATCCATCTTAATCTTGAAGGAAGCAGGACTTTCCCCACATACGTACTGGGTGTCTCGGAAAATCCTAACATGATCCAACCCAAACTCCAAACTGGCTTAGAAGTCACAGATGAAAAAGAGAAAGTGGGCTGGGCGCATTGGCTCACGCCTGTAATCCCAGCATTTTGGGAGGCTGAGGCTGGCAGATCACTTGAGGTCGGGAGTTTGAGACCAGCCTGGCCAACATGGTGAAACCCTGTCTCTACTAAAAATACAAAAATTAGCCAGGCATGGTGATGCGCGCCTGTAATCCCAGCTGCTCCAGAGGCTGAGGCATGAGAATAGCTTGAATCTGGGAGGTGGAGGTTGCAGTGAGCCGAGATCGCACCACTGCATTCCAGCCTGGGTGACACAGCAAGACTTCGTCTCAATAAAAAACAAACAAAACAAACAAACAAACACCACAGAAAAAGGAGTGTGAGAGGAGAGAGAAACTCACTTATATACATTAATTATTCCTGCTTCTGAGATAAGCATTTTCTTCTCACAGCAAACCTACAAAGGAGACGGGGGAGATTCTTTTGGTTGCCTATCCAGAGAGCTACACTTCAGATTCCCTACTGAGAAGGCTGAAAACACACAGACACACACACTGAGACACACATAGAAACGCACACACAGGCAAAGACACAAAGAATCATCACTTTTTCAGTCTTCCCTGAAGACAGGTCATGGGCCTGAGACACCATCTTGGCCAATGTACATGAAGCAAAGTCTCCTAGGAAATCTGGGGGAGAAGATTCCCTGTTTGGTAATGAGAGACAGAGTGCATATGAGAATAAGGTTGCCTTCCCTCTTCCCATCTACAGTCCTGTAGGCAGCAGATTTCTGGATTTATTCTCACCCCTCCACCATGAGGAGCCCACGAAAATTCCCAAGATAATAACCACCACTCTTGGAACTGCCAATCGAAGGGCTTCTTGATATTTGACACAAAATTAGTAGATTGTTTAAGGCACTTTACTCAGGTTATATATTAGATCACAACATAAAAGATCAGGAAACTGATCACACAGGTAATGCAGGGAGGAATCACTGTAGCTGCACAAAGGGATGTAAAGTGAGTCTTTCGTGACCTCTCCCCATTAGGTTCCTTTATGCTCACCACGCCCGGCTAATTTTTGTATTTTTAGTAGAGACAGGGTTTCACCATGTTGGCCAGGCTGGTCTCAAACTCCCGACCTCAAACGATCCACCTGCCTCGGCCTCCCGAAGTGCTGGGATTACAGGTGTGAGCCACTGCACCCGGCCCACTCTCTCTTTTTCATCTGTTACTTCTAAGTTAGCCAGTTTGGAGTTTGGGTTGGATCACGTTAGGATTTTCTGAGTCACCTAGTTAAGTAAGTGGGGAAGGTCCCAGTTCCTTCAGGATTAAGATGGATGGACTGCCAGTTGAGTTTTCATTTTTTTCCGTAGCACAGGGAAACCAGCTGGCTTGGAAAACCTGATGTTACTCTTTACGTGTTCCCAAAAGACACCTCCAAAATGACCTAAGTAAAAAGGGTAGGCGCTCGCATGCACACAAAGCCTCTATAAGTTTGTGGGTGCTCTTCTACCTGGATTATCCCTTGCAAGTCCTTCTTACAGAGACAATGACACCCATGATAGTCACAAGTCATATGCAGGTGAGCCAAACCCCATGGTATGCTGCACCCTTACACCTGTGAATACGCCATGCTGCCCCCAAACAGGGAGAACAACAAGATTTCTTTTTTTTTTTTTTTTTCAGACGGAGTCTTGCTCTGTCGCCCAGGCTGGAGTGCAGTGGCACGATCTCTCGGCTCACGGCAAGCTCCGCCTCCTGGGTTCACGCCATTCTCCTGCCTCAGCCTCCCAAGTAGCTGGGACTACAGGCGCCCACCACCACGCCTGGCTAATTTTTTGTATTTTTAGTAGAGATGGGGTTTCACCATGTTAGCCAGGATGGTCTCGATCTCCTGACCTCATGATCCGTCCGCCTCAGCCTCCCGAAGTGCTGGGATTACAGGCGTGAGCCACCGCGCCCAGCTGAGAACAACAAGGTTACTATTCCCATTATCTATGTGAAGTCATTAATTACCTTCTCTTTCCTTCCCTCCCTCTGCTCCTTTCACAGTCGAGAGAAAAATATAGTTTTAAAAATTGTGCTACTACAGAAAGTCTGCAAAATGCAATGAAAACGAGAAAACTAGAATACATGTACCCAGAGGTAACATATTAAACACTGTCATATGATCTGCCTTTGTAAATAATTATATAACTACACAGACATCTTTAAACTTTGAAGAGAACTAGTTTTGTGTCTTATTTTAAACTTAATATTACATCATGAGCATTTCCCTTTCCACTTATTGAAGCAACATTCAACGTTGCTATTAAATCAATAAAATGTTATTTAAAAATGATTTGGAAAAGCTTCAACTATCTTATTTCAACGATGTACCATACTTTACCTAACCTTTCATGAATGTTGGGATTTAGGTTGTGTCTAAGATTTACTATTGCAAACAAACAATACCATGATGAAAATCCTTTGATTCCACCTTTATTTCCTTGGAGCAAAGAATTTCTGCCTCACAGAACCTGTATATAATTTTTAAGAATCTTGATATTGCCAAAATATCCAAAAAGGGTATTCTGATGTTGACTTACAATAGACAATTTAAGAAGGGTTGGCCCTCATAGATACTTCCCATTAATAAGTAATAAAAATTTTTAAAGACTCCTATATAAAATCTTATTTTCTTCTTTCTTTGAATATATTTGTATATTTTTACCATTTGCATTTTTTTGCGAGTTCCCTTATTCTTATTCTTTACCCATTTTTCTGCGAGTCTGTATTTCCTATTTATCTGCAACAGCTCCTTATGTATTACATGCTGTATCTGTTTCAAGTACAATTTTTCCAATTTATTACTTGTCCTTTAATTTTGTTTCAGTTTATTCAGAATTTTCCCCTTGATTTTTTCCATTGCAATTAATCAAATCTACTGGAGTTTTCCTTTAAGATTTTTTTTTTTTCATTTTCCTTAGGCACACAGAAACCTTCCTCATTCTTAGACCAACATTTTCATATTTTTCTTCTAGTTTTGTTTAATGTTTCTGTTTTTAAATTCAAGCTTTCAATCAATACAAAATTTATTTTTTTAATCTGGTGATATCTTATTTGATCACTTCCCAAATCCTCAATCACATTAATGCCTTTTGTTGGAAAATCCATTCATTCTCTACAGGTTGGAAATTCTTTCTTGAGCAAGAGACCATGGATACCCAGAACTTAAGTTATCGGCCTTCTCTTTTTATGTTCACGGCAGATAAAATAACGTTACTGGGAATCCTCCGTGCTGAATGAAACAGCCTCAAAATTCTTACCAAGACTTCTTCATTCAAACACCTGGTTAGAGCCAACTATGAGCAAGCACATGCTAAGAATTGGGAAGCAGAAAGAAGAGCCGAGGGGTCCATCCACGTAGGCTCCACACTGCAGTGGCAAGTGAGACATACATCCACCAATACCCATGCATCAAAGGTATTTAACAAATAAGTACACAAGGATCAATGTCATAAAAAATGAAGTAACAGGTGGAAAGATAACCTATAGAAGGGGAACCCAAATTTGAACAGAATGCCAGGCCCAGAACACTTTCCTTGAGATGCTAACTGAGCTCTAGAAGAAAGATGAGGAAGGGAGATTCCTATTTCAGGTAACATAGTGAACTAGACAACCTCAAAACCCTCACAGTGAAAACATTTTGAAAAGTTAACAAGGAACATATATGTGTGCGTGTGTGTGTGTGTGTGTGTGTGTGCGCACGCACGCATATAAAACTTAAGTTGGCATCACAGCAAAAATACAAAAATGAAAAGCAAGTCCAAGTTGGAAAATTAGAATATAAGTAATCCCTGAAACTCAGTATTGCTTTGAGGGGAATGGCTCTTGACCTTCTGCTTTCACTGCTGTGAGGGTGCAGGAGGGAGAAGATGAGGCCCATGGCCTGGCTTAAGAGGGAGTCAGAGAGAGAACCTTTGCATGAAGTTAGGACCCGAATCCTACACTCTTAGTATAAAGGTGATTTAGAAACAAACCCCCACACACAGAAGGGAGGAACAGAAAACACACTGATTTTTATCTGGATGACTACTAAAGTGGGGGTGGGAGGCCTTCCCTGAGAATTAGCACCCTCAAGATGGATCACACAGTGGTGTGTTGTCTGGACTCAAGCTATCTGGTGTCTGACAGACCTCAAATGCAGAATTTAATTCAAAGTGATTAGGACTGACAGGGCCTCAGGCAACTAGCCGCAATAAATGCAAATCTGCTTCCAGGCAAACACAACATTACACCTCCAGGCTTTCATAAATCTGCATGGAATTTCCCATAGAGTTCAACTGTAGTAAGTGAGGAGGAAAGGCTAGGGCCCACGGCTAGGCTGCAGGGCTCAATTCTTGTTTCCACCACTCCACAGCTAAGAAGTCTTGGTCTAGCTGCCTCTACTCTCAGGTTCCTCCTCTGTAAAAGATTATCACAGCACTAATTTCAAGGATCTGTCATGAGATTTCAATGAGATAACACTAAATGTTTAGTACTATGTCTGATACATGATAAGTGACAAGTAAATGTTGGCTATTGATTTTGATTACCATTTTGCAAATTTATATTGTTGTATACCTTTACTCATTGTTCTGTTTATTAATATTTCCTCCATTGTTTTATTAAATTTACCAGAGGTTTGCCATCTTCTTATATATGGAAATTAATTAATTAAAAATTAATATTTTCATTAATTTAAATTAATGAAAATTAATATTTGTTTACTTTTCTGTTTATTATTTTTCTTACTTCACAGAATTCTGCTGTGAACTCCACTTCCCTTCTGCTTTCCTTAGGGACACACCATTGTTCATATTTCAATTACTGCATGAAATGCAAGATTCATTTATCATTACCTTTGTTTTTGAATAATGAAAGAAGTGGAGGCTATTAAAATATCTCCAGTGACAGCTTTGGCCACATTCCATAAACTTTACTATGAAATGTTCCTCTTCTGTTGATACCAAAACAGACTATAATTTTAGTTTTTATATCCTTTTGGATTAAATAGCATTTAGGAAGAATCTTTACCCTCCTCTAGTTTCCAAGAAGTTTGAATTTCCCATTTAATAGTTTGTTTCTGATATGTAGTTCCGCTGCACTGTGGTCAAGAGTAGGGCCTGTGTAATTTTTATGGTATCTATCATTTGTGTAATTTTTTTGATGAACACTTCACTCATTTTTATTCCATATGATAGGCAGTTCAATAACTACTGATATTATGTTTTAAAAATCATTTCTGTCATTAACAAGATGATTCATCTTTCTTTTCTGTGGCCAAAGCTCTCCCAACATATATTTCTATCAATTTTTGTTTTGTGCTTAGTATATCTGGAAGTTTTCTACTTGGAAAATAACTCGGCTATTCTATCCTCTTATGGGTATTAAACTTACCAATTTAAAATTATTAGTTGTACCTAATTAAATATATTTTATTGTATTTGATTTAGTCTAAAATTAACACACTCACACCATATTGCTATTTAACCAAGAATTAAAGTTGTTATCCAGTAATGGAAGAGTTTAAAGCATTTACGTTTATTAAAGTAATTGATGTTTGATTTTACTTCTGTGATAGTATGTTTATGCATTCTTCGAGAAAAAAATCTTACATCATCACAATTCACCTCTTTTAAACGTACAGTTCAATTTAATAAATGTATACAGTTTGCAACAACCACAGCAGTCACTTTATAAAACAATTTGATCGCCCTCGAAAATGCCCTGGTGTCCCTTGCTAGGCAGTCCCACCACACCACCCTCTGGCTCCTATTAACTCTGTCTTGCTTTCAAGAATGTCACATCAATGGAACCATTTACCATGCAGTCTTTCGGTCTGGCTTTCTTTCACTTAACATCAAACCTTCTCACTGGCATTGCTGTATGTGCCGTCAGTTCATTCCTTCCCACTGCTGAGACATACCACAGCTGTTTACCAGTTCTTCAGCTGACAGTCAGTGAAGTCCTATGAATAAAGCTGCCACGAATATCCACATACAAGTTTTCCAGTGGACATAGGTTTTATTTCTCTTGGTTGAACACCTAGGAGTGGAACCACTAGGTCATATTGTGAGTTATGTTTAATATTTTAAAAAGCTGCCAAGGCCGGGCGTGGTGGCTCACACCTGTAATCCCAGCACTTTGGGAGGCTGAGGCGGGTGGATCACGAGGTCAGGAGTTTGAGATCAGCCGGGCCAATATGGCAAAACCCCGTCTCTACTAAAAATACAGAAATTAGCTGGGCGTGGTGGTGGGTGCCTGTAATTCCAGCTATTCGGGAGGCTGAGGCAGAAGAATCGCTTGAACCCGCGAGGCGGAGGTTGCAGTGAGCCAAGATGGGGCCACTGCACTCCAGCCTGGGCAAAGAGTGAGACTCTGCCTCAAACAAACAAACAAAAAAGCTACCAAGCTGTTTTCTGAAGTGGTATACCATTTTTCACTTCCATCAGTGATGTCAGAGAGTTGCAGCTGTTCCACATCCTCACTGACACTTTGTATTGTGAGTCCTTTTAATCTTAGCCATTGTAGTGGGTGTGAAGTGGTATCTCAGGATGGTCTTTAATTTGCATTTCCCTGATGACTAATGATGTCATTATTGATTTGCATTTTTCAGGGATTCATTGGCCACTCCATCTCTCCTTGGCTGACATGTCTCTTAAAATATGTTGCTCATTTCTAAATTGGGTTGTTTTCTTATTATTGGTGTAAGACCTCTCCATATATCCCAGATACAAATCTTTCATCAGATAGATGCTTGGCAAATTCTTTCTTTCAGTCTGTAGCTTATCCTTATAGTTTCTTATTAATGTCTTTGCAAGAACAAAAATCCTCAACTTCGATGAAGTCCAATTTATCAATTTTTTTCTTATTTAGTGTGTGCTTTTTATGTCTTATTTAAGAAATCTCTCTGCCAGGCATGGTGGCTCACACCTGTAATCCCAACACTTTGGGAGGCCGAGGTAGCAGGACTGCTTGGGCCAGGAGTTCAAGATCAACACGGGCAATATAGCAAGACCCGTCTCTCCAAAAAAAAAAAAAAAATTTTTTTTTTTTTTTAAATTAGCCAGGCGTGATAGCATGTGCCTGTAGTCCCAGCTACTCTAGAGGATGAGGCAGGAGGATTGCTTGAGCCCAGGTATTTGAGGCTGCAGTGAGCTATGATTCTGCCACTGCACTTCAGCCTGGGTGACAAAGGGAGACCCAGAGAAAGAAAGAAAAGAAAGGAAAAAAAGAAAGAGGAGAGGAGAAGGGAGGGGAGGAGAGAGGAGGGGAGGGGAGGGGAGGGAAGGGGGACAGAGGGAGGGAGGGAGGGAGGAAATCTTTGCCCAACTTGAAGTCCCTATAATTTTCTTTGTTTTCCTCTATAAGTTCTACAGATTTAGCTCCCATATTTAGGTGTTAAGATTCATTTCAAGTTAATTTTTGTATGTGGAATGAAGTGAGGAGCAAGATTAATTTTTTCCCATGTGGCTATCTAATAGTTCATTTTATTATTATTATTATTTTTTTCTGTCTCATCTTCTTTGCTTCTTACTTAGGCTTTATTTCATTTGAAATAATCATCACTAATAAATTAGATCTAATTCTACTTATTTCATTGGGGTCATGTCTGAGCTTTGCAGAAACACCTTACCCTTTTTTCCAGGATAATCAAAGTAAAGAGTTAAAAGATACCACCTAAGTTACCCCACAAAATCCACTATATTTAACAGCTTTTAAACCCAACTCATACTCTCCAGTGTGTTTTAAAATGGCTGTGATCAGCTTATTATTTGCGTATGTTCTGAAGACAAATACTTTTCGGCATTTGCAATCAGCCTTGCAACTGACTTAAAACAATTATTTACATATCACTCTATGTGTAACTCTGTACACACTGTCTGCCCCTTTATAACAATACCTTTTCATTCCTGAATATTCATTTTGATCACTTTTTTGGGTGGCTTGCAAAGAAGCTATAGTTTCTTCAAGAACAATACACTTGTGTATATTTTCTTTTTTTTTCTGTTTTTGTTTGTTTGTTTGTGTGTGTGTATTTTTTGAGACGGAGCTTGCTCTGTCACCCAGGCTGGAGTGCAGTGGCGTGACCTTGGCTCACTGCAAGCTCTGCCTCCCAGGTTCACGCCATTCTCCTGCCTCAGCCTCCCGAGTAGCTGGGACTAGAGGTGCCCACCACCACATCCGGCTAATTTTTTGTATTTTTAGTAGAGACGGGGTTTCACCGTGTTAGCCAGGATGGTCTCAATCTCTTGACCTTGTGATCCGCCCACCTCGGCCTCCCAAAGTGCTGGGATTACAGGCGTGAGCCACAGCGCCCAGCCTTTTTTCTGTTTTTAAAATTTTTTTAAGTCTATTTATTTATTTTGAGACCAGGTTATGAGACTGGCTAATTTGTGGATTTTCTTGGTAGAGACGGGGTTTCGCCATGTTGCCCAGGTGGGTCTCGAACTCCTGGGCTCAAGTGATCCACCCACCTCAGCCTCCCAAAGTGCTGGGATTACAGGCGTGAGCCACTGCACCTGGCCTATTGGTGTATATTTTCTGAGTTCCTGCAAAGCCTATCATTTTTTTTCTGTTGCCTTATTAACATGAGAGAACTTGGTTGGTATTCTTGGGTCTCTGTCTATTTTGCTCAAAACTCTGCAGACATTTTATTTGGACACCTACTCTCACAGCACAGAAGCTGAGGCGGGATTTTTATTCTTCCAAGATAATAAGCTTGTCTCCACCCTCTGCCCTGGTATTACCACGTAGTGTTAAAAGCCAAGTTCCATACCTTGTCCACAGCCATCAACAACCATATGTGTTACTGAGCACTTAAAATACGCAAGTCCAAAGTGAGACGTTCAAAATATATACCAGATTTCAAAGACTTAATATTTACAATCTGTAAAATATCTCAGTAATTCTCAAAATACTGATCTCAGGTTGAAACGATACTATTTTGGATAAATAAAATTAAATGAGATGTATTATTAAAATGTATTGCACTGGTTCTATTTTGCTTTTCAGAATGTGACTACTGGAAAATTTAAAATCACACAGATGAGTTGCTGTTTTATTTCCATCGGGTAGCGCTGCTCAAGAGTCAGACTACCCAAAATTCATGTTTTGGTTCCACAATGCATTCGCTGAGTAATCTGAACAAGTCTCTTTCCTAAGCTTCAGTTTCCTCGCCAGGAAATGGTAGGGATAAAAGAAGATTATGCAAGTTAAGCATATTAGGTTGGCAAATAATCAACTCTTAATAATGGGAATTACTATTCCTAAAAGAAGGATTGTGTTTTAATCCTTGCAATTCAAATAATTTTCTAGGGTGTACACTAATGTGGGCAACTTATCACTGATTTTACCTTAGTTGTCGAGGCTCCTTTTGATCTGCAGGTATACAATTCCTTTTGGTGCTTGACAATTTTCCTTGAGTTTCATCATCCTAGGGATGAAGCAGCCAACACCCTGGGCCTTGCAGTATCTAGAGCCCATAGTTTTCATTAACTTTTTCCAACAACACCTCAGCCACTCAATCCCAGGCTAACATGCCAAAAAAAGAACCCCAAAAAGGGCCTCATCGAAAATACCAAATCTCTAACATCTCACTCCTCAACTCTAGCCTTTTATCCTTTCATAACATTTGGACAAAGACTCTGTGCTCAGTGCAAATTTCCTAACCTCATCATAATTTCCAGTTTACCCTGCCCATTGCTTTCTCATTATTTGTCAAACACCTCTGGTCTTTCTTGTTTTGATCCCAACTCCGTCATTATAACCACACTCTTGAATCAATGAAGTTTTTTGTTTTTGTTTTTTAGATGGAGTTTTGCTCTTGTCGCCCAGCCTGGAGTGCAATGGCGCAATCTCAGCTCACTGCAACCTCCGCCTCCTGGGTTCAAGCGATTCTCCTGCCTTGGCCTCCCAAGTAGCTGGGATTACAGGCACCCACCACCATGCCCGGCTAATTTTTGCATTTTTAGTAGAGACAGAGTTTCACCATGTTGGCCAGGCTGGTCTCGAACTCCTGACCTTAGGTGGTCCACCTGCCTCAGCCTCCCAAAGTGCTGGTATTACAGGCTTGAGCCACCATACCCCGCTGAAGTTGTTTCTTAACAGAAGTTTCTGGTAGGTAAGACTTGTGGTGCATGAGATAGCACTGCAGGGAAGGCTCACAAGAACGAGATTCTGGCATCCGCTCCATCCAAATGCTGCTCTCTTTAGCAGCATTTGGTTAATTCTTTTGGCAAATTCCTTAGAAATAAAACATAATAAAACACATGTCCTCTCTGTGGCATGGAGTTCTTGGGAGGACAGAATGAAAGTAGGTATATGAAAGCACTTCTCTCTCTTTTTTTTAATTTTTATTTTTTGTGGGTACATAGTAGGTGTATATATTTATGGGGTACAAGAGATGTTTTGATACAGATAAAGCATTTCCTTATCAGTTAAATGAAGTATGAATGAGAAGACCACAATAAATAAGAATGAGAAGGAAACAATGCTCAGGATGAGAAAAAAGGTGAGTTGGGACACTTCACTGCTTTTAAATGAGTTTAAGACTCTGAGCTCAGACCAACTGTAGCTCAAGGTGGGGCATGTCACATATGCAGATCTAGACCAAGTGCTGTGATTTGCAGAACCACAGAGAATGTCTCTGTCTATGGGATGGAGACACAATGGGGAGCACATTTAAGCAAGTCAGCAACCTGGAAGGCATTTATTCCACAAGCAGGTCAGAAGACATGTTTTAAGGGTCAACTGTCACCTAGGCTCCATACACTGTCATTTCAGGTACAGTTGAAGAAATGTAGTAGTGATTACTGAGAAGAAGAGAGGACTCAGTAAATGTGTCAGGTCTTCAAACAACTGGTTGATGCACACTGTGTAGCTCAAAACATAGAAGCCAGGTATTTGCTGGAGGCCAGGATTGGCCAGATTTTGTCCAAATCTGGCCATGCCCATGCCAAAGGCTGGGCATGAACATAAATGTTACAGACCTTGCCCTCTAGGTTCCCTCTGTCTAGTAGAGAAGGCAGATGAGGGAACAGACAAATGGTACACAGGCTTGCACCTGATCTTCATTAATGCTCAGGTGGACCAATGAGGAGAATGAAAAAGATGAAGATTTCAGTAAGGCATAAGGCGAATATTTCTAATAGAGTTTCTAAATATGGAACAGGGTCCTTTGGGAGGTAATGATCTCTTATCTCTGGAAGTATTCAAAAGCAGAAGATTAATGACCATTTGTATAGAATATTATAGAAGAAAGTGGAAGGTTATGCTAGATGACTGCCAAGTTCCTTTCTAATTAAGATTCTATGCTTCTCAAAAGGGGACAAGAACCATTCATTAGAAGACTGTTAAATAAAGAAAAATCTGCCTGTGTAAAAAGTGAATTGAACAAATGACATAAAAAGATTATTTTATAATGCAGATTAGAGTTTGCATTCATTGTCTAAAATTTTCTATGTCCAACATTTCACAGTCAAACATCAGTCTTATAAATACACAAAGGTATGCTTTCAAGTGCTTTATGCTTTTCCATGTCCATTCTGTGATCTTGCCCTCATTGTGTGAGACAGAAAAGCCCATGACAGAGGCCAGAGGTACACTGCTGACCTTGCAGAACCAGCCTTCGTATTCAGAAACCACACAGATAATCCAAGAACCAATAAAACAATAAAGAAAATGGGAAAGTGGTAATTTTTCCAGACCTGCGCATAATATTTAACCTCTGTCACCCTGCCGAATAACACAGGACCACAAAGGAAAGAAGGAAGAAGAGCATACATCCATCAACTATTCTAGAAAAATAAGCCAAAATGTAGACCCTCTGATGACAGGTCGGCAGTCATTGTTGGAGGAGAAGAGGAAGGGTTGACATGGTGGGCTTAGAAAAGATTTAAGAAGTTAATTACAGTCATCTTTAAATATATGAAAGGCAGCCACATTAGGAACAAAAAGAAGAAAGCAAGATTTGTTGAGTGCCTATTATGTGCCAAGCATTGCTTTCCATTACAAGTTCTCATTTAACTGCAATCAATCTTCACCAATAAAGGAGAGCCAGAAATACCCATTTTGATAGGCTATTTATTCACCTCTGTCCATTGCTCTGGGTATTAACACATTATTAGTGAACTGGGGGATTCAGAAGGCCACACACACCTTACTTCATTTCTCATGTTTCTGCAGGACATCCCAGAGCAGATAATGCCCTTCCATGAGACATATCTATGTCTTCTCTCTTTCTTCTGCAGGTCCAGCTTCACTGGAGCTGCTCCAGCCTTATGAGAGCATTTCGTCACAGCACCTGAAGTTCAACCATTGTTAAGTGTGGTCCCCACTGAACTATAAACCAGGCCCAGCAGCCAGAAAACCCAGATCCCATTCTGGGAAAAGCTATATGTTAGAAAGAAACATATGTGATCTCTTGTTGGGCAATTCAGTTGCACTTCTTGGCCTAATTCATGAAAAAAAAAAAAAAAAAAAACTTGTAAGTATTAAGCCTTCTTCCCACCCTAGAATCCTATGATTTCATGCTCTCTTCAGTCTCTCCCAGAAGAAAATGTCCAGTATTCAGGAAGCATAGCTTCCCAGGAAACAGATAGGGTAGCAGCAGTTTACCCACCCCCTACATGACAGGAACAATGAGTCTGCCTCCTAAAGGACGGCAGGGGGCTGGAAGATTACAGTTCTCTAAAGACAACCTCTGCCATCCTCCATAGAGACCAGCACAAAGGCAATTAAGGATGAGTAGGAGGCCAGTTTTTAGAGTCCACCATCAATATTTTCTGCAGCCACAGTCCTGAATCTCACTTCATCATCTTTCTGATGTTGGTAACAAGCGGGCATTGGGTCTAAGAGAAAAGGAGAAAAATTAGGGCTCCCAGCTAGACAGGTGAATCATGAAACAGCCACTGCCCTGCCGCTTCCCTTCCTGAGCTCGGGATCACGCGCACCCCAGTGATGGCATGGGGGTGACTTTCTGGGCCAGCTGGAGCAAGATCAAAGGCTGGTAGACATGTAGGGCCTTGTCTGAAAACTGGCAAGAAATGTTTTCCTGATTTAAAGCCAACTGTCTAGAGTGATGACTGTTAGTTTAGAACAGGATCCTTGGATGGAAGTGACAGAGCCATCCCCCTCCTCAGCAGCATCCTTAGAAGGGCTCCCTTTCATCCCCTACAGGAAGTACCATTCCCAGCAGGCCTTCCATGCAGGAGCCATGCTTAATATACTGGTTCTTCAGGAACACCCAGAGAAGGAACCTGCCCCCATCAAAAGCTCAGAGAGTCCTTGTCTAGACACAATGACAGTAACTTAGCTGAAATAAGCCACAGAGAGGGAAACAGGACATAGGAGAAAGGGCACAGATACTGGAGTCAGACAGTTCTGGATATTCATCCTGGCTCTGCCATGTACCGGTTACATGATTTGTAGTTAGTTAACTCCCCTATGCCTCAGTTCCTTTGTATGTACAATGGGAATAATAACAGGACCTAGTCCATAGAGGTGTTGTTGAGAAACAGACCATGAGAGAACCATGTAAAACATGAGAAATGAAGTAAATGATTCTTTATTATTATACTTTAAGTTATGGGATACATGTGTAGACCATACAGTTTTGTTATATGGGTATACATGTGCTATGGTGGTTTACTGCACCCATCAACCCATCATCTACATTAGGTATTTTTCCTAATGCTATCCCTCCCCCAGGCCCCCACCCCCTGACAGGCCCCAGTGTGTGATGTTCCCTTCCCTGTGTCCATGTGTTCTCATTGTTCAACTCCCACTTATGAGTGAGAACATACAGAGCTTGGTTTTCTGTTCTTGTGTTAGTTTGCTGAGAATGATGGTTTCCAGCTTCATCCATGTTCCTACAAAGGACATGAACTTATCCTTTTTAAAGGCTGCATAGTATTCCATGGTGTCTATGTGCCACATTTTCTTGATCCAGTCTATCATTGATGGGCATTTGGGTTGGTTCCAAGTCTTTGCTATTGTGAATAGAGCCACAATAAACATACATGTGCATGTGTCTTTATAGTAGAATGATTTATAATCCTTTGGGTATATACTCAGTAATGGGATTGCTGAGTCAAATGGTAGTTCTGGTTCTAGATTCTTGAGGAATTGCCACACTGTCTTCCACAATGGTTGAGTAAGTGATTCTTAAACAACAGATGTTAGACCACAGCCTGTGGGATCCAAAGCCATGGAAAAGAGGAATTTTGAATTCAAGTGCAACTCAACAGTGGTAACCAACAGTCATTCCCCAGGGGCTGTGGTCCATATCTTTCAAATTCCCTTAAGATCTCCACTACATCCATGTCTACTGAATTATACAATCCTCTATCTCATACCATTTCTTTTGGGAAGGGAAAAGTCAAATATCAGCGTCAGCACTTGTTAGCAGTCTAATCTTAAGCAAATGCTCTTCAACCCCACACTTTAACTTAAGTGAGGTGGAGGTAATCATACTTATCTTTCCAACCCCCAGGGTCATCATGAGAGATGAGTGACAGCACGCATCATTGACAAAGCTCTACGCAAAAATAAGTTTTCCTCCTGTAGACAGGAGCTGCATGTTTTGAGTGAGTGGAGTTCAGAGCAGAGGTACCTTCAGTCCTGGTAGCCTGTTGGTACCAGGAGTTGGAGGCCGGAAACAAATGGGCCATGTAAACATTGGGAAGACCAATGAGCATTTCACAGGCCATAGAGATAGGCAGGCTGAGCCATCACTATTTGCAAATCCCCACTAATTGGTCATTACAGAGAGAAGTGTACCAGTCCACTGCGAATTTCCCACAGTTCGTTTTTAATCATGCACCAATCCCTCACAAATGTCCTGTTTCCTATTACTTCATTCTACAGCACTAACAGATATCATAAGGGGCCCACAGGAACATTTCTGAGAAATGCCATTTCCAACAGCTGTACAAAGTGATTTCTTGGAGCTGTATCAAGGGAGGCCGTCACGGGTGTCTGCTGAGGGTACCATCTGACATGCTTCCTGAATGCAACTGTGGAACACGGCGCAAGTCCATTTCTCTCCTGTTCTTCCTCCTTCCCTAAGGTCGTCTACTGGATGGTGTTTTAATGTGTTTCCTTCCTAGCATACCTGTCATGGAAAGACACTCACTCACCTGTCCCAGAGCTGCTCTTAGGAGGTGGGCTGGTGCAAATGTTGCTGCCTTATCTATGCGACTTCAGGGTGGCTGGTGGGCAAACTCCTGGCTACCCACACAAGCCTCTGGGACACAAATAGGCATTAGGAATGTGGTGACCCTGGGCTCTACAGTGATAAAGAAACGTGAATTCCTGGGCCTGACCGTGATAAAGAAACTCTGCCATCGGTTTTATTATTCTTAGGGACCCAGCTCTAAATTCATTGTGTATCAGTCATTCAGTAAACATCTTTATAAGCCAGTCATTTAGCAAGCATCTTTATGAGTTTTAGCACACATCTATAAAGCTTCTTTTAAAAATGTTTAGCAAACATCTTTAAAAGCCTCACGTCAGGCCTTTGGGATACAAAGGTGGTGAAAAACAGACGTGATCCTGGTTTGGGAGCTTACGGTATAGGAGATAGACATCTATTAGCTCATCACACAAAAGCATGAAAGAATACCCTCTGTGTTGAGTTTACTGAAGAAATGTATGTGATTCTAGGAGAACATGTAACAAAGCAACCCCTATGAAATGATAAAGACAGGGAAAGTTTCCCTGAGTACACGTAACTTTAGCAAAAGAACTTGTTATTCATTAGCAATGGGGGAAAGGAAGGAGGTTGGGCAACAGTTTAATAAATAGAACGCTCTGGTGGGAAAGAAGGAGCAAAATGAATCTGCAGGACTGGAGAGTGAGGAAGGACGCAAGTGGTGCAAGAACAACTTGGAAGGAGGCAGGAGCCAGCGTCCGCAGAGAGATGTGACTCGGTTAAGAACTGTGGCCTCAGCCGGGGGCAGTGGCTCATGCCCGTAATCCCAGCACTTTGGGAGACTGAGGTAGGCAGATCACCTGAGGTAGATGGATCACTTGAGGTCAGGCGTTCGAGACCAACCTGGCCAACTTGGTGAAACCCCGTCTTTAATAAAAATATAAAAATTAGCTGGGCCTGGTAGTGCACGCCTATGGTCCCAGCTACTCTACTCAGGAGGCCGAGGCAGAAGAATCACTTGAACCCAGGAGGTGGAGGTTGCAATGAGCCGAGATCACGCCACTGCACTCCAGCCTGGGCGACAGAGCAAGACTCTGTCTGCAAAACAAACAAACAAACAAAAACTGTGGCCTCTAGCTCAGAGCAGTAGGAAACCAGAAAAGGTTTTACCCAGAGGAAAAGAGTGGCATGACTGCGCTTGTTTTTGGAAAGCTGACTTTTGCTACTGAGAGAAAAGATATGGGGGAGGAGAGGTGAGCAGTGGAAGGAAGAGACTAGTGTGAAAAACACTTGCCATTGTGCTGGGGAAAGATCACAAAGCATGGACTAGGTAGGTGTAGGGGAGGTGGAGCCACGCTAGGGTGTGATGTGGTTAGACCCAGGGCAAGAGAAAGGGACAAAGATGAGCTCTCAGTTCCAGAACAGCAACTAAGCAGATGGTGATGCCACTACAGAGGGGCTGTCAGGCTGGTGGAGTAGGCAGATCATGGCTTTGGGGTTGTTGATCCGGGTTATGTATAAACTAAAACATAGACAGACTAATAGATCATGGAGTCAGACAGGCCTGGGTTTTCATCCTGGCTTTGTCATGAACCACAGTTACTAGTATTATGAAAAAATTACGTTTTATAAATACTTTCATACTGTTGTACTGGATTCTGACAACACTCTCATGGGATTCAGGAATGTGAGAGAGACAGGTGGTTAATTGGTAGGGGAATAAAAAGCAGGTGTCAGGAAACTTTGATGAAGTCTTCGATAGTAGACATCGGGTTAGAGGACAGGACTCTAGAGACAATATTCTTTTGAACGTATCAGATTGTATTTTCTAAATTATTATTTTTTAAGCCATGAAGTATTTATTTCGGATGTATATATATATAAAGCCAGCACGTAAAATAATAGACAGTTGGTCTCCCTGGATTAAAGTAGGCCTGACAGAGTCAGAGCATCAGTGTTTCCTCCCCTTCTCCCCTTTCATCCGAGACCTCATGGAAGGGGCTTCCAGGAGGGAATTCCAGTCCATGGTACCTTACTCCTTCAACTTCTTAGCTGTTGATGGACTTCACAACCGGCCACACCACCCGAGTGCATTTTAAGTCATTCTGGCCTTGGCTACAAGTGGAATGAAGCATTTTTAAGAAGCTGTCATGTCGTGTACACTGACCCATCTTATTTCACCCCTTCCTTTGTGGCTGACTCAGTCCCAAGCCATCTGAGAGCTGAGAGAACCAAGGTTCAAAACCAGTTAGAGAATTCTTCGGCGGTAAACCAGGATTTGAAATTAGTTTTTTCCCAATCACTTTGTATTTTCTTTTTCTTTTTTCCGTTTTTTTTTCTTTTTTGAGGAAAAAAAATGATACAATCATTTAGCCATGATCTTACCACTGTGATTGTACCACATCATAATGCATACCACTACAATTGTACCACATGCCAGCTCTATCACCCAGGCTGGCATACAGTGGTACGATCATAGCTCACTGCAGTCTTGAACTCCTGGGCTCAAGTGATCTTCCTTTTTCAGCCTCCAGAGTAGCTGGGACTACAGGTGCAGTCACCACATCCAGCTAGTTTTTTGTAGAGACACGCATCTCACTATGTTTCCCAGGCTGGTCTCGAACTCCTGGGATCAAGTGATCCCCCTGCCCTCAGCCTCCAGAGCAGCTTAGACTGACTACAGGTGTGTGCCGTCACACTTGGCTAATTTTTAAAATTTTTTTGTAGAGGTGGGGGTCTCACTATGTTTCCCAGGCTGGTCTCAAACTCCTGGGCTCAAGTGATCCTCCCCACCTCAGCCTCCTAAAGTGCTGGGATTACAGGCATGAGCCACTACGCCCAGCACACTTCGGTGTCTTCTTACAAAGTAAAGGGTGCAGGCTCACAGGGGACATGGCACTGGACTCCTACCCAAAGAAAGGTAAATGGTGAACACAGCGGCAGAGGCATCCTTCGGAACCAGCTGCTGCTCCTCCTCCCATGTTGCTTTTCCCCCATGGTGTTGGCGCTAAGACCCTGGGAGACAGAGTGGCTTGCTTTCACCTTAATTAGCGCAGCAATTTGCTAAATTTTGTTTTTCCCTTTTTAAGAGTGTTAATCAATTTTAGGCTCAGAATAGATTGGGAATGGCACGCAAATTACCAAGACAATCCCCAAATGCTAAATTCTGAACATCTCCATCAACCTCAGAGCCTGAAATATGTGAAAATCAGAAACTCTGGCTGGCATGTCAGTGATCTATTAAAAATGCTATGGCTCTAAAATGAAAAGATAATGGCTTTATGAGGTTTGGAACAAGCAATTTGCCAGAGTCAGCCTCATGCTTAGGTGTTGAGTCCTTCCCAAGGTGATCAGAGACAGAGCATCAGTGCATTTCTGCAAAGTTACATGTTCCTCTAATCACAGCAATTTGTTAAATCCACAAGCATTAGTGGGTACCTACTATGCACCAGAAATATAGAAAAGAATAAGATGCGGCTCCTCTCCTCCTACCCCATTAAGAAAGGTTCAGTAGACAGACAAGTGAACAAAAAATGTCTTCCTCTTTCCTGTGGAAGTCAGGCTGTTTCTTAAGAGGAGTTGGCACTGCAGCTGAGTCCTGAAGTACGAACAGGAGTTGTGGCAAGATAGGTGGGAAGGAAATATCAGATGGAAGGAACAGAATAAGCAAAGACTCAAACACAGAAGAGGGGGCAAAGGGAACCAGAGGTGTGCTCTGCTACTTAGAGTTAAAGGAATAGCGAAGGTTTACGGGAATGCCAGTGACAAGACTGGAAGTAGAATCAAGAGCCAGAATATACAGGACTTCTTAATCGGGCTGTGGGTCTCAACACGATGCAAGCAAAATGGCACCACAAAAAAATTGTAAGGGGAAGAGATGACCAAAAAGGTTTCATTTGGTTGAAACCCCTCCAGCCTGACATAACCTTTAATATTTATTCAGCAGTGTCTTTTTAAAGCACATTCAAATATATTCTCTCATTTGAGCCTCTTAATTATCCCCATGAGTTTGGTATTTCATCCACCTTTTCTACTGATGAGAAAACAGGTCCAGCAGAGATGCGTGGTTTACTTTGTGTCTTTTGATCAGTAAGTGACAACAGGCAAATTTAAACCCCAGCCCATGGGGGTCTGAGTTCAGCCTTTACTTCACTGGGTAATGGAACTCTCTAGATGACAGCTACCATAGACCACTTTCAGATTATACACCAGGCCAATGCTCTCCAGCGTCTCCAGAAAGCCTTGGTGGTCAAAACTCACAGACCAAAGTGGATTTTGTGCACTCAAAGGGGTTACTTTAATACTTCGATAATAAAATCAGATTCTGCTGGCAAACAACTTCCTTACGCCCTACACATTTTCAGTTAGGAGCTGAGATTTCTGGCATTGCTACAGTCTGCTCAACCACAAGTAATAACGCTTCCAGCTAGAGGAGATCACGGAAGTGCCTCCCCTCCTGCCCATACCTTGAGCTCGTCTGCATTGTAGAAGTCCACACGCACAGCGGGCACCATCCAGGTCTGGAAGAGCGTGGCCAGGATCTGCTCCGCAATGGAGTCAGCAATAAGGTGGAAGTGCAGAGGGTTCCGTCTGTGGGGAGTGTGAGAAGGAAGGGTCAGGTGGAGAGGTACGGCTCTTTGAATTACAGCTGCAAAAACACACTCTTCACAGTTCCTACGGTGGGGCACGTTTCTAACGGCAATTGTGAAAGTAAATCTGGAATGTTACGAAAACAGTGCTCACTGGTGAGGCTGCAGGAGCTGAAAAGGAGAGAAGTCATCTCACCCAACCTCTGTGACTCAGAGAAGTGACAACCAACCACCAATCACTACTGACACCCAATTCAGGCCAAACGCCATACCTGTTATTAGGATTCATTTTTTTCTGAAAGCCGTAAGTAGAGCATGTGTTAACAATTTGGTCAACCTTTATATCTGACTTATCAGCCTTAACGCAGAAACACAACAATGTAGTGTAAGTTTTTTAGACTGGCTGCAGGCGGCTGGCAAGAGACTTCTCCAATAGCACAGTGTAAGTTCTGTCTTCTGCTTGTTCCTCTCCAAAAGAAAACCAGGCTTTAAGATGGAGTCATCGGGAGCTCCCATCACCCAGTAACAGCCTGTCCTCACTTTTAATATTTCTATAGCTTTTGTTCATCTGAAATAGACCACTTCCAGGTTGTATACTAAGCCAATGGCCTCCAGCCTCTACTGAAAGCTTTGGTGGCCAGAACTCAGACCAAAGTGGATTCTGTGCCAACCAAGCGGTTACTTTAATACTTTTGATAATAAAATCAGATTCTGGTGGCAAACAACTTCATTATGCCCTGAACACTTTCAGTTAGGAGCTGAGATGTCTGATGTTGCTTTTACTGAGGCAGCACCCGAAATACCAAGGAGCATTACGCAAGGGCAAAACTTCCGGAGTTAAATGGAAACAGGTTCCAAACCCAGGTCTGAAATGTATGAGTGGGAATCTTGAGCATGTCACTTACCCCTCTGCACTGCTATTTCTACATTCTGGAAAATGTGGAGAAAGACCTTCTCATCAGGCTGCTGTGTTGATTAAATAAAATAAGAAGTGCAAAATACGGCACATCAAAAATAAACATGGGATAATAATCAATAGCAGATGCGCCCTACTGGCTAGATACAAAGCAATACGTCAGTCAAGAACTACTAGCATAAATACTATTGTGCTACTACAAATAATGACATAAAGCGTAATGCCATGAATGAGTACCTACTAGAAATAAAGCACTGTGGGAAATACAAAGATGAGAATGACCCGGCCCGCTGACCTCAAAGAGCTCATACTGCTCAGAGACAGACGAGCGCAGTTAAATATAAGCACGGGGCGGAATGTGATAAGGACTACAAAAGAACACAAAGTTCCACGGGAGTAAGAGCAGCAGCCAATTCTGACAGGGTCAGAAGGACGTGTAAGAGGAGAGGGAAGCTGTGCCCTAAAGGGAAATGCAGGACTTTGACAAGAGAAGAAGGCAGAGGGGATGCAATCTGAGGAGAGCAACAGACAAAGGCTGGGCCCAGGGTGTATTAGGAGTGGGGGCCGGGGGCGGAGGGGCTTAGTAGGGCTCCAGGGTTGGAGCAGAGAAGGACATGAGAATGCAATGAAAGTTTAATTAAAACAGTTTGGACAGGGCACGGCGGCTCACGCCTGTAATCCCAGCACTTTGGGAGGCCAAGGTGGGTAGATAATGAGATCAGGAGATCGAGACCATCCTGGGTAACACAGTGAAACCCCATCTCTACTAAAAACACAAAAAATTAGCCTGGTGTGGTGGCACATGCCTGTAGTCCCAGCTACTTGGGAGGCTGAGGCAGGAAAATTGCTTGAATCTGGGTGGTGGAGGTTGCAGTGAGCCGAGATTGCACGACTGCACTCCAGCCTGGGTGATGGAGCGAGACCCCATCACAAAATAAATAAATAAAATAAAATGAAATAAAATAAAATAAAATAAAAATTAACAGACTAGACTTCAGGGAGGTGTGGGGGGCAGGATGACTGGCCTTTTAGCTCTCGGCCGTCGGCATGGTCACTCCCCACACCTGTCCTATGTTCCAGACATACAGACCATCTCTCAGTTTCCCGCCCCCTACCCCGTGCTCTCTCTCCACCCTGGGCCTTATCATATTTAGCTTGCTCTGCAGGCATCTGTCCCGCAGTTGCTCATTCAATAAATCCTCACTGAGTACACCCTATTTGTCAGGGGATGAGCTGGATGCTGGGGACACAGTGGTGAGTCAGACATACCCACACTGCCCCTGCTGTCATGGAGCTCACAGTCTTGCCCACCCTGCACCTCCACATTCAGCACTTGGTTATCTCTTAGTCTGCCTTAGGACCGCCATCATTTGCTCCTAGGATCCTTTCCTGACTACCCACATCTAGGTCAGGGGTCCTTCCTAACTGTTATCCCAGCCATACGTACCGGCCTACTCATCCTTATGTAGTGGTTGCCTGTCTACTTGTCTACACCCCCCATGTGAGCTCAGCAAGCTCAAGGATCACATCAGATACATTCAAATAGACAGGCCCATGATCTACAGCACAGTGCCTAGAAGAGAGTAGGAGTTGAATCAATGAACTGAATGGATAGATGGGAGATGAGGGGAACAGATGTAGACATGTCATTTAGGAGATCATTAGACTTGGTGGATGTGAAATGAGAATCCGATTAAGACAGTGTTGGCCAGGTGCCGTGGCTCATACCCGTAATCCTAGCACTTTGGGAGGCCGAGGTGGGCGGATCACCTGAGGTCACGAGTTTGAGTCCAGCCTGACCAACATGGCGAAACCCTGTCTCTACTAAAAATACAAAATTAGCCAGGCGTGGTGGCAGATGCCTGTAATTCCAGCTACTTGGGAGGTTGAGGCAGGAGCAGCACTTGAACCTGGGAGGCAGAGGTTGCTGTGAGCCAAGATCGTGCCATTGCACTCCAGCCTGGGCAACAAGAGCAAAACTGCATCTCAAAAAAAAAAAAAAAAAAAAAAAGTGTCTATCCCAGGAAGAGCAACAAGGAAGCTGGATCTAGAGGATTTCAGGAGAACAGATATTAGATATGAGAAAAAAAAGAGGGAGGAGCAGAAGGCAACACTGGGGTTCCTGGGTCAGCGGCAATGGCTCCAGGACAGGGAATACAATGAGAAAGGCACCTTGGAGGAGGACAGTGAGTCTGGGATTGGGCAACCAAGCTGAAGTCAGGGGTGGCAAAGCCAGTGCTGCTGCTGAATGGGTGGGTCTAGACCTGAAGAAAGAAATTTCTCAAGGCCAACCTGCCATACATGTAACAGGTGCCTAAGGGTAATAAACTGAATAAACGAATCAAAAAGCAGTCAGCACTGCAGAATTTCCCCATGGGACCCACTGCCTTTTAAAGACTGCAACTTTCCCATAAAATTATCTATGCTCACCATGCTCAGGGGAAAGGGGCATATTTTCCCTACAGCTTCCCTAAATGCCCTATAAGAAGCTGCCACTGGGCCTTGGTGATGCTTGGTGGCATGAAGGGACAATGCTGTGTTTGCCCACTGGCCAGTGGCTTACCTGAGGGCCAAGTCAGAGGCAGCAGGACAAAGTCACCAGGGAGACAGACGGTCCATTTGGCCCTCAGTGTTTCCACGACTGTCTCCCAAGGCCACAGTTGCCATAATGGATTCTTATTAACGGAGAATGGATAAAGGTAAGCCTATATCATGGTCAAGTTGCATGTTCATCTACAGTAGAGGGGCAGCTTAATTTTAGCCATGGGGTGACAATAATAAATGGACCAAGCTTCTTATATTTGCTCTAATGCATCATACTTTCCATATTTCTGTATCTTTGCTTGTGCTGTTCCCTCTCCATGGAATGCCCTTCCCTGCTTGGAAGCCCCATGAATTCCTGTTCATTCTTCAAAATTCCCTTTGTAAGTCATCTCCTCCTGGAAATCTTCTTTGAGCACTTCCTCGTGTCTTTCTTCTGCTAACTCTGCACCTTGTGTGAAAAGCTCATCCGCCATCTGTAGCAAGGCATTGTGATACGTATTTAAACTGCTGGCTCCTTGTCCCTACTGTGAGACCACAGACGACAGAAACCATCTTTTCATCCCCATCCACAGTATCCAGCAAAGAACCTGGTGAATCATGGGTCCTGAATAGATATTCCTGTAACAACAACAAAAAGCCAATGCCCCTCCTTGTATTATCACTGTAACCACCAGCATAGGAGGGCAGAAACAGTTGATGGCACACTTTGTATCAAGAGTTCGGAGTTTGGACTATGTTCCAGAATGCCTGGCTTGGCATCCCGGCTGCAGTACCTACTGAGTGACTGTAAGCAAGTCACTTCATCTCTCAAGGCCTAATTTTCTCATCTCCAAAGCAGGAAAGAGATAATGGGAAGCAAGGAATATTATACTGGATAATTGTGAGGATAAAATAACATAATAAACATAAAGTGCTTAGTAAAGTACTACCTGATATATGGTAAGATTTCAATACAGGTTATCTATTACCAATATTAACTTATGATACTGCTTTTTTTCTCTACTACTTTTGCATCGCGTTTTTGATGAAGTATTTTCAATTAGTTCTTCCAAGCACAGACAAAAAACGGGCTGAATGAATATCTAACAAAGAGCTATTAAGCAATAACTACATATAAGTTACAACAGGGATACAGGTGATGAATGAGCTACGAGTGTTCTCTACAGGCAGCTTACGATCTTGGAGAGTCAGAGGAAGACAGAATACAAAAAACTCCACAAACGTCAGAACATGGATGCGCCGCTGTGCTGGGCTGCCACCCACAACAGCTGAGCTTGGGAATGGCCCACTTCCCAGGGAGCCTTCCACATAAACCAACAGGTAATATGCAGGACACTCTCAGAGTTAGATTGAAAACAACCTGCACAACCATATATGACGACTCTACAAGGAGGAGCACAAAAGCTACATGGTGGTGAGGGTGAAAGAGATGACATTTTGGTAGTGAAGAATCTGGGAGGTTTCCATGAACTATGTGGCAATTAAATGGGAGCTCTAAATGGGCAGAGGAGGAGAAAGGGAGGCATTCAGCAGGGAAGTGCAGTTGACCGTTGAGTAACATGGGGTTGAACTGTATGGGTCCACTGACATATGGATTTTTTTCAACAAAATCTGGAATGGGAAACCCAGCTATACTGAGGGCTGATTTTTCCCACAGGCTGTGATACAGTTTGGATATTTTTCCCCATCCAAATCTTATGTTGAAACGTAATCCCCAATTTTGGAGGTGAGGCCTGATGGTTAGTGTTTGGGTCATGGGGGCGGATCCCTCATGGCTTGGTGCTGTCCTCATGATGTGAATTTTCTCAAGATCTGGTTGTTTAAAAAAAGAGAAACTCTTTTTTTAAGAAGTTTTTTTTAAGAGTTTTTAAGAGTTTAAGAAAAAAAGAGTTTCTCTTTTTTTAAACACTTTCTCTTGCTCCCACTCTCCTCTTGCATGTGATGTACCTGTTCCTGCTTCACCTTCTGCCATAAGTAAACACTCCTTGAGGTGTCCCTAGAAGCCAAGCAGATGCTGGTGCCATGCTTGTACAGCCTGCAGAATCATGAGCCAATTAAACCATTTTTCTTTATAAATTATCCAGTCATAGGTGTTTATAGCAAGGCAAGAACAGCCTAACACAGAAAAATTGGTACCAGGAGTGAGATACTACTATAAACATATATGAAAATATGGAGGCAACTTTGGAGCTGGGTAACATACAGGGGCTAAGAGTTTGGAGGGCTCAGAAGAAGATGGGAAAGTCTGGAACTTCTTATAGACTGGTTTAATGGTTGTGACCAAAATGCAGATAGTGATAAGGACACTGAAGTCCAGTCTGACAAGTTCTCAGATGCGAATGAGGAACTTATTGGGAACTTGATTAAAGGTCACCCTTGATGTGCCTTAGCAAAGAATGTGACTGTATTGAGTCCATGCCCTAGAGATCTGTGGAAGTTTTAACTTAAGAGTGACAACCTAGGGTATCTGCCAGAGGACATTTCTAAGCAGCAAAGTGTCCAGATGGAGGAGCAAAGCAATGATCTAAAAGTTGGAACTTAAAGAGGGAAGCAGGGTGTAAAAATTTGGAAATTTCGTAGCCTAACCATGTGGAAAAGAAAGAAAAGGCTTTATAGGGTGGTGGTGGGTGGTGGGGGAGAAGAACCCACAACTTGCTAGAGATATTAGCATAACTAAAAAGGGGCCAGGTACGACAGCCAAGACAATGGGAAAAAGGCCCTGAAGGCATTTCAGAAGTCTTCCAGGCTGCCCCTCCCATTACAGGCCCAGAGGCCTAGGAAGAAAGAATGGTTTCCTGGGCCAGGGCCAGGACACCATTGCCCTGCACCACCCCAAAAGGCTGCTCTTTGCATTGTGGCCTCTCCAGTTCCAGCCTCAGCCCAAAGGGCCCAAGATACATCTCAGGCTGCAGCTTCAGAGAGTGCAAGCTATAAACCTTGGCAACTTCCATGGGGTGTTAAGCCTGTCAGGACGGAGAGTGCAAGAGTGAAGGAGGCTTGACAGCCTCTACCAGATTTCAGAGAATGTATAAGAAAGCCTGGGTGCCCATGCAGAAGCCTGCTACAGGGGCAGAGCCCACCAGAGATGTTCTATTAGGGCAGTGCTTAGGTTATATGTGGGGTTGGAGACCCCACACAAAGTCCCCTCTGGGACACTGCCTAGCAGAGCTGTGGGAAGGGGGCCACTATCGTCCACATTCTAGAATGGTAGATCCACTGGCGATGTGCACCTTTGTGCTTGGAAAAGCAACAGACACTCAACTCCAACCCATGAGAGCAGCTGCAGGGGCTGTACACTGCAAAGCCACAGGAGTGTTCCTGCCCAAGGCTTTGGGAGCCTGCCCATTGCACCAGTGTGCCCTAGGTATGGGACATGGAGTCAAGAATTATTTTGGAGCTTTAAGACTTAATGACTGCCCTGCTGGGTTGCAGACTTGTGTGGGGGCCTGTAGCACCTTTCTTTTGGCCAGTTTCTCCTTTTGGGAATAAGAGTGTTGACCTCATGCCTGTACCACCATTGCATCTTGGAAGTAAATACTGCGTTTTGATTTTACAGGCTCACAGGTAGAAGGAACTCATCTTCAGATGGGACTTTGAACTTGGGACTTCTGAGTTAAAAATGGAATGAGTTAAGACTTTGGGAGGCTAGTGAGAAACAATGATTGTAGTTTGAAATGTGAGGAGGACATGACATTTCGGGGGCCAGGAGAGGAATGATATAGTTTGGATATTTTTCCCCCACTCAAATCTCATGTTGAAAGGTAATCCCCAGCGTTGAAGGTGGAGCCTGGTGGAAGATGTCTGGGTTATGGGGGTGGATCCCTAATGGCTTGGTGCTGTCCTCACAATACTGAGTGAGTTCTCATGTGAGCTGGCTGTTTAAAGATTGTGGCACCTCCCACCCTCTCTCTTGCTCCTACTTTCACCATGTGATGTGCCTGCTCCTTTTTTGCCCTTCTGACATAAGTAAATGCTCCCTGAGGCCTCCCCAGAGGCCGAGCAGATGCTGGCACCATGCTTGTGCAGCCTGCAGAACTGTGAGCCAATTAAATCTCTTTTCTTTCTAAATTGCCCAGTCTTAAGTTTCCCCCCACCCACCCCCAGTGAAAGAGTTTCGCTCTTATTGCCCAGGCTAGAGTGCAGTGGCATGGTCTTGGCTCACTGCAACCTCCACCTCCCGGGTTCAAGCTATTCTCCTGCCTCAGCCTCCCATGTAGCTGGGAATACAGACACCCACCACCATGCCCGGCTAATTTTTGTATTTTTAGTAGAGATGGGGTTTCACCACATTGGCCAGGCTGGTCTTGAACTCTTGACCTCAAGATCTGCCTGCCTTGGCCTCCCAAAGTGCTGGGATTACAGGCATGAGCCACAGCACCCAGCCTCAGTTGTTTCTTTATAGCAACACAAGAACAGTCTAACAGGGATAGGTGACATAGGGCTAACTACAGGACTTGAATATGTGCAGATTCTGGATATGTGGGTTGCCTGGAACCAATCCCCTCTATATACCAAGGGACAACTCTGATAGAGTAAGAAAGGAACAAAGGTGGTAAAGTACAGAGCAGGTCTGTGAAAGAACAATAGTCATATTTGGGTGGATCATACAACAACATTTACTGCACACCTACTTAATGCCAGAAATAGGGAGGATAAAAAGAAAAAAAGAGAGACCACGTCTACAGGACAGACTGGGCTAGAATGTGTGAGTTCCTAGGAACTGCAAACTTCATTCTCTAAGAGAAACAGCCAGACAAGGTTTGGAGGCTCAGCAGGCAGCAAATAGAAGTTATAATTCTGGGAAGTTTTAACCTGGTTACAGAGCAGAAGGTGGACCAGTGTGGGGTAAGAGGAGCAAGCCCTTAAAGAAAGATGCTACAAACATTAGGATGGGGCTTCCTCCTTCAATCTTCTTCTGCCTCTGGTCTATTTAAAGCTTCTGTCCAGAAGGCAGAGTAAATCCAGAAAGAAACCTCACCCTCACCTTTATGGCAATACTAGGTGTCTGCATTGTCAAAGGGAATAGTGGGTTTCATTAGCTTGCCTGAGAATATACAAATGCTTAATCAGAAAACACATGAGCCCCTCAGCCCAGGTGACAACCAAGACCTTGGCAGTTTGCTGATATTGTCTCAGCAATCAAAGGCGGGCTAACTATCAGCAGCTTGTGTCTGACTCCTATCAGACAGCATGCTTGAGGGGTTCCATTAATGTTCCACTTTGGGTACCATCATAAGAATTTGGGCCCAGACTGCAGTTCCTGATAGTGGCCTTTTCCTTTTAGGCTCACCAAACCATGGCACAAGCACATGAAAATACTGCCCAGACCACCTTTCTTGGAGCTTCTGTGTAAGCCGAAATAGTTCCCCTGAGCTTTAACCTGTAAATCTGACTGTCAACCAGATGGCCCCACTTTCACATCCCACAGGTCCCTGGGAATCAAGAAGCACCCAATTACAATTCTACTACACACAAGTTTCTTCTATTTTTGGAAACAGAGTTTTCACTCTTTTTGCCCAGGCTGGAGTGCAATGGCGCGATCTTGGCTCACCACAACCTCCGCCTCCTGGGTTCAGGAGATTCTCCTGCCTCAGCCTCCTGAGTAGCTGGGATTACAGACATGTGCCATCACGCCCGGCTACTACACACCAAGTTTCTAATGATTTGTGGAGTGTTTGTCTGGGACCTGTCTCTTCTTTAGAATTTAAGCTCCTTGGGGACAGAGACTGGGTCTTGCATTCACTGCTGCATCCTAGCTCCCAGAGCACCACCTGACACAGTAAGGAGGGGCTTTTGTTTATTCTGCAGGACTGCATGGATGAGTGGCTTCCTCAATTTCCAAAACAGAAATCAGTTTTCCCTCTCCTGGCCCCTTACACAGGTTTCCCCTTGAATTTCCTGCCTGCGTTAAAGGTGCCTCATTCACCCAGCCTCATAAGCTAGAAATGGGGGTATGCCCTGGGCCCCCCACCCAGCTGTATGCCACACACTCAATCAACCTCAAGTCCTGAAAGGCAGCTTAGCTTAATGGTTAGGAGCTGGGTCTTGAAAGCAAAACTGCCTGTTTTTTTTTTCTTAACGTGGTTCTGTCATGAACAAATGTTGAACCTTGGGAAAGCTTCTTCACCTCTGAGTCTCAGTTTCCAAATCTTCAAAATGGGCTTGATCACAATAGCTCCTACCTTACAGTTATTGTCAGATCGATTGAGCTAAAACATATGCAGCACTTACAACAAGGACTGGCAGGAAGTGAGGACTTAGTAAATGTTAGCCTCATTATCCTATCCAACCTTGGGGACATCTCATGAAAATATTCACTCTTTTTTCTCATGAATATATTCACTGTTTTTCTGACTCTCTAACTCACTCTGATATATCCTCTAGCCCCTAAGCCATACACTTGCTCTAATGTAATCACACAGCCCCTTGCTCACTGTACAATATATAAGCCCCAGCCTCTCGCATGGAGCAAAAAAGACCTTCAACGATCTCACCCTATCTGTCCCTCAAAGCTCATATCTTCACACCCCTTCCTTAAACCCTGCACTCCAGCCATTTCTCCCTCAGTTCTGCCTGTGACCAGCTCCTGCTCCTCCTGCAGGAATAAAGTCAACAGCCACATTCCCGGGGAAACCTTCCACAGTCACCCCATCCAACGCAGCCCCATCTCCCCCATCACTCTCCATCCCACTGTCCTGTCAGATTTCTTCCTAGCATTTATTATCACTGGAAATCTCCATGTTAACCTCCAAGACTACCTCCTACCCTCCATGAGACTGTCAGCTGTGGAGGATAGCGCTTCTCCAGCTTCACAAAGTACCTCCTCTCTTGTTTACTCTCTACAACCCCAGCGCTTAGAGAGCATCTAGCTGGTCTCGGGTGCAGTTCCAGGGTTGAGCATGCTCTCCTGGCAGGCTTGTGCCCATGCTGTCGCCTTTTCCTGGACCATCTACGCTTCACCCCGCTAACTGCGTCTGGCCTTCTGTTCTCAAGTTAGACACCACAGTTCTGAGGAGGCCATTCCACGGTGTCAGACGCCCTTCTTAGTGGCTCCAGCTGAGTCTGTGCTCAAACCTTAGTTCAGATCTTTGAAATAATCGACTATTTACTTCTTCTTTGTTCCCTGCTAGATGGAATCTTAGCATGGATGCTTTATTTTGTTAAGAATCTTATACCTAGATTTTTTTTTTTACAGCCCCTTACAGGTAGAAATACTCAGTGATTGTTTAAGGAAAGAATGAATAAATGAACACATGAATAATTACCAAAAAGATCCAAATGCCCTCAGTTTGACGCAATTACCAAAGAGATTCAAATGCCCACAGCTTGACATAATTACCTGGAAGTTAGGTACAGAGGCACTTAGAAAAAAATGCAGGAGCAAATCTTTTAACATTGGGTTAGGTAATTGTTTCTTAGATATGGTCCCTGAAGCACAAACAATGAAAGAAAAAACAGATTTCACTGAAATAATTTTTAAAAAACCCTTTCTCTTTTTCTGCTGTCTGCCATGTGAAGACACAGCAAGAAGGTGGCCATCTGCAAACCAGGAAAAGGGTCCATTCCTACCAGATCCCGATCTCAGACCAGCACCCTGATCTCAGACTGCCCCAACTTCAGAACCATATGAAATAAATTAGTGTTAAGGAAAAACAAAAAAAAAAAAAAAAGGAAGAAACTTTGTGCTTCACAGGACATGATCAAGAAAGTGAAAAACTACCAGAGTGGGAGATAATATTTTCAAGCATATATTTGATAAGCAACCTGTATCCACAATATATAAAGATACTTTACAGCTCAAACAATAAAAGGACAAGTAAGCCAATAAAAATTGAGCAAAGGATTTAAATAACCATTTCTCAAAGAAGATATACAAATGGCCAACAAGCACACGAAAAGACATTCAATATCATTAATCATTAGGGAAATGCATATCAAAACCACAATAAGCCACTTACCCACTAGAATGGCAAAAATAAAAAAGATATATAACAAACAGTGATTAAGAATTTGCAGATATTGGAACCCTCAATGGTTACCGGTGGAACTGTAAAATGAAGCAGCTGGTAGGAGAAACAGTTTGGCAATTTCTCAAAAAATTAAGCATAAAAATAAAAATATCTATAAAAATATGAAAACAGATGTCAACACAAAAGCTTATACAGAACATTCTTAGCAGAATTGTTCATAATAGTCAAGAAGTGGATGGCCGGGCACTGTGGCTCATGCCTGTAATCCCAGCACTTTGGGAGGCTGAGGTGGGTGGACCACCTGAGGTCAGGAGTTCAAGACCAAGCTGGCCAACATGGCGAAACCCTGTCTCTCCCAAAAACAAAAAAATAAGAAAATTTAAAAAATTAAAAAATTAGCTGGGCATGGTGGCAGGCACCTGTAATTCCAGCTACTTGGGAGGCTGAGGCAGGAGGATTGCTTGAACCCAAGAGGTGGAGGTTGCAGTGAGCCGAGATCACACCATTGCACTCCAGCCTGGGCAATGGAGCAAGACTCTGTCTCAAAAGAAAAAAAAAAAGAAGTGGAAAAAACTGAAATGGCCATCAGCTGATGAATGGATAATACAATGGGGTATATTCATACAATGGAATATTTGTGGGTAATTAAAATAAATGAAGAACTGATACATGCTACATCAGGGATGAACTTTGACAACATTCTGCCATATGAAAAAAAGCCAGTCCAAAAGACTAAATACTGTATGATTTCACTTTCATGAAATGTCCAGAACAGGCAAATCCAAAAAGACAGAAAGCAGATTAGTGGTTGGTATGGGATGGGAAGAGGAGGAAATGAGTAGTATTGGGGCTGGGGATTTCTTTTTAAGGTTATAAAAATGCTCTGATATTAAATACTGAGGATAGTTGCACAATTCTGTGAATTTACTAAACAACCACTAAATTGTACACTTTTAAAGAGCAAATTTTATCATATTTACTTATTCATCTCAGAGGAATAGGCAAATATTGGAATGTTGGTCTGACCTGTGTATTTGGGAGAGGGAAGGAGGCCTGCTCTGCTTCTGTTTCTGGGCTTCCTTCCCTAGGGGGATGTGCTAAGCAGTAAATGGTGTGCCCATGTGGGAAACCCCGCAATTGTCCAGGCTGGCCTCTGACCGGGAGGTAAGTCCAATTCATGGAGACATAAGTGAGAGCTCTATTTGTGGCCACAGTTGAAAGAACATCCTATACTCAAGACTAACGGCCATAAAGGAGGCTTATTTCATTCTTTATATGCGTGACTTCTGAGCCTTATTTCACATTTGGTTCCTAACTCAGGAAGGTAAGAAATAGTTTTAATGACAGAGCCCTGCAAATTCCAAAATCAGCCAAAGCCTATGAGTCTACATCCTATTCTCTTTTGTTCAAAGGGAGATTAGCAAGAGTTAGACAGATGTTAAGGACATATTTACACCAAAGAGAATTTCGCCAACTGCAGATAATAAAAACTCATTCAGAGGAATAATTTTCTCAATATATGATTCAAGGCTATTTAGTTTTATATTTGTATAACATCTAAAATAGTCTTTTATGCCAGCTACCAGTTATAAATACACTTGCGAGCACTGCCTGAGGCCCCTTAGAAAAAGCTTCTGCCTGGCCAGGCCAGCTTGGGTACACATCTTAATACAGAGTGGTCCCACATAGCATGCCTGGGTTACTGCAACCCACATATTGCTGCAGACATCAAGTGTGGTCCACAGACAGACCAGACCACAATTCTACACCAAAGAAGGAAGCAAGTATGTGCTTCCTCTCCAGCAGAGCCTGCAGACTTCACTCTTAATGAGCAACGCTTCTGCTCCCTCTGGTTTCCTTAACTGCTCCCTTGTTCCAGGCTGAGATGCAATAAATATGGTACTACAAAGAGGCAAAGATGATTAAGCCATTGCTTTCTTCCTGCCTTCCTTATTTTGTCAGGAATGTGCCACAGTCCCTCCAAGGCAATCTAGGGCCTGTTTTCATTAAAATATACAAGGACATTTGAGCTGAAATAATCTTTAATTATTAAATTTACAATGCAATGGCAAACTTAGGAAAAGAAAGCGCGTGTGACAGCAACCTGAATTCTCAGTGAATCTGTTGCACTTACAGATTTAATAGGACTCATTTCAGAAAATCACCGCAGCCAGAATGAGAGTTTTTCAGTGAGTCCTTCATTTGAGAGTGGCCAAGTGCCTTTGATGATATGGGAAGATTCAAGGACAAGTCAGTGCCATATCAGAAAAGCTTTCCAAAAGAGAAGAACAGAGCAACTTTCAAGAAAAATCAAAAGGCCTTGTAATGCAGTAAAAGCAGCATGGATTGTAGGGGCTGGCAGAGTCCAGGTTGGAGACTGATTCATCTGTGACCTTGAACAAACTATTTAACTTCCCTGAGCCTTGGTTTCCTCATCTGTTTATGGGGATAATGGCACCAGGTCGGGATAACATTCAAATACAATAGCCCATGTGAAGCTTAACATCTGCACTATAAAAAGCAGTTCCTTTTGGTTTTAATATTTATGGGTATGACCAAATACCATTGATCTCTTACCTGTTCAAAGATATCACGTGCCTATGCTATTTTCTTAAGACTTAACTAGAAATACTGATGCCCAGGCCTTTAAAACCTGTATTGATTCTACACTTAACACCTCAAAAATACATACCTGGAAGGGGTGAGAATTGATAGAGGCAAAAGGCAGACAAATGCCTAGGCAGAAAGGAACAGGTCCCCAGTGAAATCCAACCTTCAAGCCAGAAACAGTCCTGGGTAAATTCTGGAACTGGATTGAGAACCCGCCTTCCTGTTTGGTGTGATTTCCCCTAATTAATCCACATCCTTCACCTATTTTACACATAACTACCCTTTCCTAATCGGTTTTCTACACTATCATGCCCACCTTTGTGTGGTGTCTTTGCTTTAACCTCTTTTGCATAGTCACAAACTAATCAGCATGCACTTCCTATTCTGAGCCCATAAGAAGCCTTGAGCTCAGCTATATTGGGAACTCTCCTGCCTTTGAGTAGGGGGACCACCCCGCATCCTCTCCCCACTAAAAGCTGTTTCATCACTCAATAAAACTTCCCATCTTGCTCATTCTTTGAGTGTCCGTGTGCCTAATTCTTCCTGGTCACGAGACAAGAACCCAGACCTAGCTGAGCTAAGGAACAAAAAATCCTGCATCAAAATGATTATGGAGATCACAACGTCTACACTATCACCCAGAATGAAAATTAAAAGTAAAAGTAAGAATAATGAGACCGGGCACAGTGGCTCACACCTGTCATCCCAGCACTCTGGGAGGCTAAGGCAGGCAGATCACTTGAAGTCAGGAGTTCGAGACCAGCCTGGCCAACGTGGCAAAACCCCATCTCTACTAAAAATACAAAAATTAGCCAGGTGTGGTGGCAGGCACCTGTAATCCCAGATAGTTGGGAGGTTGAGGAAGGAGAATTGCTTGAACTTGGGAGGCAGAGTTTGCAGTGAGCCGAGACTGCGCCACTGCACTCCAGCCTGGGTGACAGAGTGAGACTCTGTCTCAAAAAAAAAAAAAAAAAGAAAAAAAGAAAAAAGAAGCATGATACTAAAAATGAGAACTTCTTTTTGTTGAGAAGCTCAGATTCTGAAGCTAGATTGCCTGGTTTCCAACTAGGCTCTGCCCATCTTCTCACTGAGACCTTGAGCCACGACTTACCATCTTGTTCTTTAGTTTAACTCTGAGTAAAATGGACATCATAATAGTGCTCACCTCCTGAAGGCATATGAGGAATCAATGCATTACCATCTGGAAAACACTTGGAACAGACCCTGATACAGAGCAAGAGCTACATTTGTATTTGTTAAATAAATAAAATACAGACAAGTATTACATACAGCCTATATTCCCATATTCAAAACGGGGCTCTAAGGCAGGTTGAGAAACAAGCCAAAGCTCCAAGATGTAGAGGCACGTGCTTAGGGTCACCCAGCTCAGGCCTGGTAGGAGCAGAACCAGAACCCAGGCCTGCTTCTTTGTTTTATTCAAATCCTATGCACAACTCAGACAGTTCTACAATGAATTCAAGCCTGAATAAGGGATAAGACAATTAAAGGCAGATACTGGTCACGAATATGCTCTTTTATTCACCACGTCCTTCAGGGGCACAAGTGAAGTTTAAAAAAACAAAACCAAAAACAACTACTTGATATGCAAAGTAAGGCAAATAACCCAGCTTCATCCTGCCAACAAGGCTGTAGAGTGTGAAAGCAGATCATGCTAGCAAACAAATATTAAATTTTTACAAGCTGATCCACTTTCCTGCCCAGGAGGTAAACACTTAGTTGCTAAATAAATATTTCTTTTCTCTGCTCCCTAAGAGTTTAGTTTCCTTGAAGAGCAGCAATATTTCCCCGTTTATCTGCAACTGGGATTGGAGTCACAGGCATTCCCCCCAATTTTCCTCTGAATAGCCTGCCGTCTAGGTGATACAGACGTGTATTGTGCTATTTTCTACTGGGTAACAAACAAACCTTTGTCATTTATAATTTGTATATATTTTTCTCATCCATCTTTCTTCTTCACCATAGAGGTTGCATGCTGACACAACCAAAAATATATGTAACACTGAAAACAAAAACAAGATTACGCCCAGGCATGGTGGCTCACACCTGTAACCCCAGCTCTTTGGGAAGCCGAGGCAGGTGGATCATCTGAGGTCAGGACTTCCAGACCAGCCAGGCTAACATGGTAAAACCCCATCTCCACTAAAAAAAATTAGCCGGGCGTGGTGGTGCATGCCTATAGTCCCAGCTACTCAAGAGGCTGAGGCAGGAGAATTGCTTGAACCCAGGAAGTGGAGGTTTCAGTGAGCTGAGATTGCATCAAGATCAGGCCACTGCACTCCAGCCTGGATGACAGGACAAGAATCTGTCTCAAAAAAAACAAGATTACCTTTATTTCTACCACCCAAACACAAGACGCAAAAGTCCTATTTCTTATGTATTTTCTGCTAGTCTGCATTTTGACCCTGTATATGTGTACATGTCACATATAGGCATGTGTGTGTATACTGAAATATATACGATGCATCCCATTTTAAATTATATTTTCACTTATTTTATATAAGCATTGCTTCATGGTATGCCATACTTTTCAAAACTGAGTACATGGTTTACCATAAGAGAATGTTCCATTATTTATTCTGTTCTTAAGTATTATCCAATTTTATAATTATAAAGCAATATTTTATAAAAGGTTTTTCTATTGTTAGGGTTCTCTTTTTAAGGGAGAGTCCCTACGGTGGTCATACTGGGTCAAGGTCTTCCCACATTGTATTAATTTCTCTCCAACAGGTCGCAGCAATTGTCAGCGTTGGCATTAGTGTGCAAGTGTGTCTATATTACTCTTTTACTATCTTTTGAAATATGTCATCAAGCATATGGCAGAAGTAAAACTGATTTGATGTAATGAAGCAAGCCTTAAATGAAAATTTGCACCAAATCTTGTCTGGAAAATAAATCTAATTACTATAATTAACAGTGAAAGCCAAAAGAAGCATCCTGCACCACTATTATTATATTATTATTAACATTAGTAAGGTACTTCATTTGTCAATGTATTTTATAACCATGTATTAGTTAATCCCCATAATGTGCTTGGGAAGCAATGAAGCTATTTATAGCTGGACTTTCTGAGCCGAAAGTCTTTCAAAAGTCCTTTTGTCTTGTATCTCAACTCATCACCAGCATATCAATTCACAGAATCATTCCCATTTGTATAATTTCAGGGATGACAGGAACTTCTGTGGTAATTTGGTCCAAGGTGGTCAGTAGTCATTAAAATGGTGTATGGTAAACGCACCTGACAGCAATAACTTAAGCATACCCTGAGAATGACCCTGTTTGACAGACGTACCTGAATGTATGTTCTGAACTGGAGAATCCAGGAAAGGCCAACCTGGAGATTCATTCCTTGTCTATAAGAAACATCTGAGCTCCCAAACTGTCCCATGGAATACAAGCCATACAGGGAATTGAGGCCCTGAGTTTTGGGATGATTGAAGTGGTGCTACTTGGCAACCTCCTGGTGCCACCCCCACTGGAGGTTGTTAGGGAAAGGGTGCTGATATGGTTAGGCTTTGTGTCCCCACCCAAATCTCATTTCGAATTGTAATTCCTATAATCCCCATAATCCCCATGTGTCAAGGGAGAGACCAGGTGGAGGTTACTGAATTATGGAGGTGGTTTCCCCCATGCTGTTCTCATGATAGTGAGCGAGTGAGTTCTCACCAGATCTGATGGCTTTCTAGGGGGATCTTCCCCCTTCACTCAGCACTTCTCCTTCCTGCCATCTTGTGAAGAAGATGCCTTGCTCCCGCTTCACCTTCCGCCATGATTATAAGTTTCCTGAGGCTTCCCCAGCCATGCTAAGCTGTGAGTCAATTAAACCCCTTTCCTTTACAAATTGCCCAGTCTCAAGCAGTTCTTTATAGTAGTATGAAAATGGACTAACACAGGTGCTAAGCCAAAATGTTATATAAACTGCATGCCTTTCATAAGTAGTTGCAGTTTTCCTGCCCAACCTGCTGCCACTGGGTCCTGGGGTTCTCCTGACCAGCCTGTTGCCACTGGGCTGTACGTAAGGCAGATCTGTCCAGCCCGCTGCCACTGGAATCTCTCCCCATATATGTAAGCCCCCAGTTAAACCCAACGTCTCATTTGCTGGCCCTGGGTTTCTTCTTTGGCCTCCTGAACCTAGTGCCATGCCCACTGGAGTAGACAGGGGCTCAGCATAACAAATGGGATGCAGAATTTTCGTAGCACATACTAAGGATTTGCTTTCTTCTCAAGTCCTCACGCCGTCTTAAAAGTACGACATGCCATCAGCAGCTAATAATATTACTACCGCTATTTTTTAATTTAACATCTTTGTGCTGCACAGTTACTGTAGGAGTAAAAGTTTACACCCAACAGGATTCTTACAATTTCAACAACTATTAGATTATCTGATTTGCAGCTAGGGCAACAGGAATAAAATTTATACACAACACCAGAGGTTTTTATGACCTTTAACTTTGCCATAATTGAGAAATAGCGTAATTGAATACCTGTACATCATGCAAAGGCCCTTTTCTAGAAAGTGGGCTTTTTTTTTTTTTTTTTAAACCAGGGAGAGACCTGATACGTCATGGCAACAAGTAGTAAATACATAAAAGTCTGAAGACCACTCATCTCATTCAATGCTTAGTGTACAAAATGCCTGGTTTTAAGCCACAGGATGAAGGCCGTAGTACTGAAAGGAGCCTTCAAAACTGCAGAGAAACAATAACAATGTGGAAAGGGCATCTCACCTCAGGTCAGAAGACAGTAGGTCAAGCCCCATTTGGCCATTCTTTCTTTGGTGTTTCCATTTCCTCTTCAAATATACAACTGAAATCATAATTCCAACTGGACAGCGCTATGAGGAAGAACTGACAGCCTCTACGGTGAACTGTTATCTATTTGTTGATTGCTTACTTCTCCTATCCACTTCTCCATTCAGGATGGGCAGTGAATTTGACGCTTGCTAACTTGCCAGCTTGCTGCAGGCACGTAAGTGGCCCAGCAGAAGAACCGTACAGGTCAGCCCAGTAGAAACAACTGAACTAATAAGTAAATGTTTCAGACCATTAAGTTTTAGGGTGAACTGACACACAGCAAAAGTTAACTGATTTAAAAAAAAAAAAAAAAAAAACCTAAAGTCTAAAGAGTTAAAATGGCTGGGGGCGGTGGCTCACACCTGTAATCCCAGCACTTTGGGAGGCCAAGGTGGGTGGATCACCTGAGGTCAGGAGTTTGGGACCAGCTGGCCAACATGGAGGAACCCAGTCTCTACTAAAAATACAAAAATTAGCTGGGTGTGGTGGCAGGCGCCTGTAATCCAAGCTACTTGGGCAGCTGTGGCAGGAGAATCGCTGGAATCCAGGAGGCAGAGGTTTCAGTGAGCCAAGATCATGCCACTGCACTCCAGCCTTGGCGACAAGAGCAAAACTCCATCTCAAAAAAAATAAAATAAAAAATAAAAATAAGGCAAAACGAACTGCTGACAATCACTCAGCAATATAGTGTCATGAATGTGGAACTGAACTAAGTCTGGGCTGGATATATTAATTAACTGATTGAATATATATCTTCACGTTCTTTATTAATGAACTCCCCCAGACTGACTTGTCAAATAAGTAAACATTTATTGAGCATGTAATACGTGTCAGCTACTTTGCTAAGATACTAGGGACACAGAAAATGACGGCATGGGTTCTGTCTTCCAGAAAGCCCACCTTCTGCTACAGCAGACCTGTCATTAATAGATATATAAAATATAATGTAATAAATCTAATGATGGAAAGAAGCACAGGGGGTATTGTGGGCTGGTAGACGAGAAACCCCAACACAGGCAGAAGGTTGGCTTCCTGTTAGAAAAGATGCTTATGTAAAGTCTTAAAGGCTAAGAGGGAGTTTGCCAAGGTGAGGGTGGGAGGAAATGGAGAAGGAGGGAGAAATGGGTAGACAGAGCAGCATAACCAGACACAACAGGCCGGACACGCTATGGGGGCAGAGGGGAGCTACAAGCAGGTCAGAGCTGCTGGAGTGCAAAGTCAAAGCAAAAAGAGGAGACAGAAAGCACTATGGAGATCAACCTGGTCTTTGTGCCATGGTAAAAGGGTTTGATTTCCACCCCTTGACAAGGAGAAGCCGCTAAAAGGTTTTGAGAAATCAGATGTGCCTGTTTGAAATGTCATTCTGGAATCACAGCAGATGATCTGAAGAGTAGAAACTGGGGAAGCAGGAAGGACACATGAAGGTGAGAGGATAGGTGGCCCTGAATGACATCAGTTGCAGTGGGGATGGAGAGAACGGGGAGAAAGTGAAAACTATCTCAGAGGGAGAATCGCAAAGCACTGACTGCAGATGGGCTTGTTGGAAGACAGAGAGAAGGTAGAACCAATGACGAATCCCAGTTCCTTGCAGGGTTGGTAGGTCTTGAAGCCCACCATGGTTCCCATCTTTGTTTATGCCATTGACAGATTCAGGTGCAGCATTTTACACTGATCTCTGTTCAGCTGACCTCTGCAAACTTTTCACCACTATTCCTACTATGGAGAGCCTCCTGGATCCTGACTCATCCACCCAACAGGTTTCCATGCTGTTGGCTACAGCTGTGGATAAGCTTCATCCAAACCCTTGGCAAGAGTGTTAAAGCAGAGCCAAGGACACTGGCTGGAACCATGAACACCATTCTGGATAGGACCCTGGGTATGTCTAGATGCCAATCAAAATAGTGAGGAACAGAAGAAAAGTTCCATGAGAAAGCAGAAGCCAATGCTGGAAGTGTCACATGGAGAAGAGATGAGCATCCAGAGGCATTATCACTTCCAGGTAGAAGAAGAACCAATCCTTAGGATGATGGTTCCCATGGGGGTCCACGAGAGTCAATGGAGATCATCCGCAGGTTGGGAAACAGTTTAACTAAGGCAGGACTTTTTTACAGTCAGAAATGCCCAAAAGTGGGACAGCCCACACCAGAATAGAGGAAGCAACCTGTCTATAAGAAAACACCACCGACTAGGTGGATAAAACAAGAGACATTTATTTTCCCACTGTCTGTGAGGCCAGAAGTCCAAGATCTTTTGAGGCCGCTCTCTTGACTTGCATATGGCCTCCTTCTCAATGTATGTTCACATGGTCTGTGTTTGGCACATGTCTGTATCCTAATCTCCTCTTTTTTTTAAAGGACACCTGTCATATTAGATTAGGGCCTACACTAATGACCCCATTTTAATCTAATTAAAGACCCTATCTCCAAATACAGTCATATTCTCAGGTACCAGGAATGAGGGCCTCACCATAAGAATTGTGGTGGACATAACTCAATCCATAACACAACCTACCGACAAGGATGTATAACAACTGAGATCTGGTAAATGCTAGGCAGGGGAAGCTGATAGAGAGACTGAAGCATCAGATTTGAGGTGTCCTTTAAGATTGCATTAGGTCTGAGAGTTACAATTCTAAACATGGCAAGACAGCACCTAATCGCTGTCATTAAACATTGTTAACACAATCATCTCCTCAGGGTTTCAGACAAAAATTACATTTTTATGGCAGCTAGAATGATTGATGAGAAATTTTGCTCCTATTTAACCCTTCCCCAAGGAAATACACAGGCAGGCAGTGACAGACCTCAGCCCACACAGCACAGAAGTTGTTCTTACCTATGGAACAGGACGGATTTGACCAGGGTGACGACATCCCGGCTGGCATTGTATCCGGCGCAGACAATAGCAACGTGGATTGTCTGGGAAGAAAAGAAGACGGGGTGAGCAGTCAGACAGACGGAAGGAGGCCTTCCTGGTGCTTCAGATCACACTAGAAAGAAAAATTGCCCTGATTTCTTGTTGGCATCATTAGAAAACAAAGGACACTGTCTGCAGCTGTGGAAAATAACTCAAGACAGTTTTATTAAGGCCTTTTTAATCGGCTTATGGAGCTATTATCATTTGGAAACCATTAAGGCTCCTTCCAATTACATTTTGGGGACAAGAGAGATGGTGATTGGCTCAAATAGGCAAACAGTGAGTCTCCTGTCCTCAAGCTGAGCGACAATGACAATTGGTTAAACAGAGAGGAAAGAAATACATCTTGAAAGTATGAACCAACAATCAGGGATCTCAGACTAAGAAGTTATGGCTCAGAGAGTTAGTGAAATGTTCCCACAAGATGTGTTGGGTTAGGGTCAACCTAATAAAAGGGCCAAAGGGGACACAGGAACACCTCCGCACCCCATCTGGGATACAGTTCAAAGAACGGAAGACTGGCAGAATTGAAGGGAACCCAAGGGGTCATCTCAACTAAGTAGCCAGGAGCATGGGCCTCAGACATGAATCCCTGAACTCAGGGTGACCCTGGGAGTGCTGCAGGGTCCACTGACTCACTGCCATTTAAGCGTCATGACATGTGTCTTGCAGGATGGTGCTAAGGAGTGAGGGAACAATGCCAAGAGGGGAATATGCTGCCCACCACACTACATTCCAATGATACCAAAAAAGGTCCTCCAGAGCTGGGCTTCCCAAATGGAGTGCCCAGGCACCTTAGTGTGCCACGATTGAATTACAGGTGACAAATATACTCATCTGTTTACGCCCTCTAAGCTACTGGGCGGGGCTGGCATCCTCAGGCAACTTTTCTATTTTCCTCCTGCATCATAGCAGTTATCATTTTCTATGTGTGGCACAACTTGAAAAAGATCGGAAAGCACCACTCTAGGGCATCCCCGACGGGACATCATTATCCAGCCTCGGGAAGAATGGAGAGTTCATACTTCCGGATTTTGTCCTTTCTACTGAAGCACAGCCTTCCTTGAATGGAAACCTGCCTCTTAACACCCACTCCAGTTGCATTCTGTCCTGGGCATATTGTAGAACAATGACGTTTCCTCCAGCATTCAATACTTCCATTAAAGGAGGGGACCTGAGAGATGCCTTTTCTTTTCCAGAACTCCTCAGAGCCCTTGCTCCCATGACACGGGCTTCCAGATACCTTGTTATCCCAACCAGCCATGTCAAAATGCAGTTCTGATATCTGGGTCCATCCCATACAGGGTGATGTGACAATGTCCTCTGGTTCCCAGGCCTCCTTCATCACCCCACTGTCTTATATCAGCACGGGAGGCTCGGCCATCAGGGATGAACCATCCCACACCCTCCAATCCACATCCATGACCCATTTAACCCCAATGACCTTCACCCCAACTTGGACACCTATTCCCAGTACGAGAAACTTGACCTTGGCTTCATATAGAATCTAATTTTCTCAGAAATCCTACAATTATGGGCTTGCCACATGAGCAGGACTCAGAGCCTCACATCACTCTACCGCTCCTCTTCCTCTATGGAGGGTCCCTTTGCCGTTGACTGTTAGGCTCCATGCTGGCCCCCACCAGGGCTCATCTGAACCATCACCCCACTCTGCTCTCAGCTCCCGTATGCACTCTACCCCCACATTCAAAATGCAAATCCCCAACCCAGATGGGTGCTACGGTCTCCACCTCTGCTCTTATACCTGCTCCCAAGAAGAAAGAGGAGGGGAGATGCAAGAGAGGAATGAGAAGCATCATGAAAGCTAGTATGTAGTGAGCAAATCATGACATTCCAGGCACTGTGCTTCATATTACCAGATTTCAGGCTCAAAGTTGTATGAGACAGGTACAGTATTATCATTTTAGTATCACAGATCAGGAAACCCAGGCTTAGAGAATTGGGATTTGAATTCTGAAACAGACTGTTTTTGCTTTTTTTTTTTTTTTTGAGCCAGAATCTCACTCTGTCACCTAGGCTGGAATGAAGTGGCACTATCTCAGCTCACTGCAACCTCTGCCCCCCAGGTTCAAGTGATTCTCCTGCCTCAGCCTTCTGAGTAGCTAGGATTACAAGCACCCACTACTACGTCCAGGTAATTTTTGTATTTTTAGTAGAGCTGGTTTTTACCATGTTGGTCAGGCTGGTCTCAAACTCTTGACCTCAAGTGATCCACTCACCTTGACCTCCCAAAGTGCTGAGATTACAGGTATAAGCCATCGCACCCCGCCTAGAATAGATTCTTAACCCTGGTGGTACATCAGAAACAGATTTTTAAGATATATTCTGTGCCCCAGGCCCTCCGTCCTTCAGACCAATAATTCACAGTCCCTGATGCCCAGGATCTTCAAATGCTCTACTGGAAGGCAGTAGTTCTCAACCAGGGACATATTCACCTCCCTATCCTCCAACCCGCAGACATCTGCAATGCCTGGAGACAGTCTTGGTTGTCACTACTTGGTGGGTCTGGGGTGGGGGGCAGGGGGATGCTACTGGCATCTGTGAGTAGAGGCCAGGGATGCTGCTCAGCATCCCACAATGCACAAGACAGCCCCAAAACAAAGACCTGTCCTGCCCCAAAGGTCAAGAGCAGTGCTGTTAGAAAACCCTGTATGAGGGATGAGGGAGCAAAATGAAGCAAAATGAAGCAATGTCAGATCCCTCTGGGTTTTCTGGTACCTTTTTTTCAGGCTAATTTATGCATATTTTAATTTCTCCACCTGTAAAAGAAAGACACCATTGCTTATCTCTGGATAATATCTGTAAAAGACTCAGGATGAAAGATTATAATGCAGATGTAACTGTCACCATTTCAATCATGAGGGAAATGAATAGGAAAACGCCTGCACATGGAAGACATAACTGGGAAGGGGATGAGAATGGGGAAAAACACGCTGAATCAGGCTCTTCAGAATCGCAAATATTTAAACATACAGCCTCAGAGATATCAAACTTTGTCTTGGCTTCAGGGTTCAGAGACTTTTTAAAATGGGCCCATTAAATGTAAGCACAAGCATGCACATTCTTGAACATTTTACATAATTTTCCAATCTCTTTAGTTTCATCGAATACACCTGCCACCATGAATAAATGCATCATCTGGAGGCATAGCAGCAGGGCCCTGCTCCCTGGGAAAGCAGAAAATCACAGTGGCATCGACTATGTTCTTAGAGGAGTTTTGGGTGTTCCAAAATCTGGGGTTACAGAAGTGAACCATGAGTGGGGCAGGGGTTGGAGTGGGAATGGGGAGAGTAGGGAGAAAGATAAACGATCCTTGAAAGAATGGGGTCACAAAAATGGTTTTGTCATGTGACTTTAGGGCTTGAAGCTATTAAGTTCAGTTTTTAAGTTTCTTGGTGTGGTAGATTAAAAATGGTCACAACTATTCAACATTCCTCCTATCAAAGGGTGGGGTCTTGGCTCATGCCTGTGGCTCACTTTGGGAGGCCAAGGTGGGCGGATCATCTAAGGTCAAGAGTTCGAGACCCGCCTGGCCAACATGGTGGCACACACCATCACTGCAGGCTAATTTTGCTGTGCGCGGTGACTCATGCTTGCAATCCCAGCCCTTTGGGAGGCCGAGGCGGCGGATCACCTGAGGTCAAGAGTTCAAGACCAGCCTGGCTAACATGGTGAAACCCCATTTCTACTAAAAATACAAAAAATTAGCCAGGTGTGGTGGCGTGTGCCTATAATCCCAGCTACTCAGGAGGCTGAGGCAGGAGAATCGCTTGAACCTGGGAGGCAGAGGTTGCAGTGAGCTGAGATCTCGCCATTGCACTCCAGCCTGGGCAACAAGAACAAAACTCGGTCTCAAAAAAAAACCCCAAAAAACCGAAAACCAAAAAACAAACAAACAAACAAACCAAAGGGTGGGATCTGAATGTCAGAATCAGTGACCACTGGTCCTTGCACTAGGCCTTCCTGTCTACACCTGAAATTACAGTCATGCTTTGCTTAACAACACAGATATCTTCTGAGTAGCCTATCATCGTTAGGTGACTTTGTCTTCCGAGCAACTTTAGAGTCCACTTACACAACCTTAGATGGTATAGCCTACAACACACATAGGCTATATACTAGAGTCTACTGCTCCTAGGCTACAAACCTGTATACATGATACTACACTGAATCCTGTAGACAACTGTAACACAATGGTGAGTATTTCTATCTCTTAACATAGAAAAAGTACAGTAAAAATATAATATAAGAGAAAAAAATGGTACACCTGTATAGGATACTCATCATGATTACAGTTCACAGAAATCGAAGTAGCTCTGGGTGAGTCAGTGAGTGGTCAAAGAATGTGAAGGCCTAGGACATTATAGTACACTACTGTGTACACTTAGTTTATAAACATGGTACACTTAGACTATACTAAGTTTATAAAAAATATTTTTCTTCAATAAAAAATTAAACTTAGCTTACTGGAACTTTTTTACTTTACAAATTTAAAATTTTTTTTAACTATCTCTTTTTTTTTTTTGAGACGGAGTCTCACTCTGTTGCCCAGGATGGAGTGCAGTGATGTGATCTCGGCTTACTGCAACTTCTGCCTCCCGGGCTCAAGCGATTCTCCTGCCTCAGTCTCCCGAGTAGCTTGGACTACAGGCGCCTGCCACCACGCCCGGCTAATTTTTTTGTATTTTTAGTAGAGACGGGGTTTCACCGTGTTAGCCAGGATGCTCTCAATCTCCTGACCTCGTGATCCACCCGCCTCAGCCTCCCAAAGTGCTGGGATTACAGGCATGAGCCACTGCGCCCAGCCAACTGTCTATTTTTTTTTTTAAGAGATGGGGTCTTGCTATATTGTCCAGGTTAGAGTACAGCGGTTATTCACAGACATGATCACAGAACACGACAGCCTCGAAGTCCTGGGCTCAAGCAATCTTCCCGTCTCAGCTTCCAGAGTAGCTGGGACTATAATTGCACACCACTGTGCCTGGCTCTTAACTTTTTGACTGTTTTATAACAACACATAGCTTGAAACACAAACACATTGTACAGCTGTATGAAAATACTTTATATTCTTATTCTATACGCATTTTTCTGTTTTAAAAATTATTTATTTTTAACTTTTAAAACTTTTTTGTTAAAAACTAAGACATAAACACACACCTTAGCCTAGGCCTACACGGAGTCAGAATCATCAATATCACTGTCTTCCACCTCCTTACCTTGTCCCACTGGAAGGTCCTCAGGGGCATTAACACACATGGAGCTGTCATCTCCTGCGACAGCAAGGCCTTCTGAAATACCTCCTGAAGGACCTGCCTGAGGCTGTTTTACAGTTAACTTTAAAAAAAATAAGTAGAAGGAATACACTAAAATAATGATAGTATGATAAATACATACACTGGTAACACAGCCATTTTCTCTCTAGTATTATTATGTACTGTACATAATTGCGCTATAGTTTTATACAAATGGCAGCGCAGTCGGTTTGTTCACACCAACATCACCAAACACATGAGCGATGTGTTGCACATGATGTTAGGATGGCTATGATGTCACTAGGCAATAGGAATTTTTAGCTCCATTATGATCTGATGGGAGCAGTGTGGTAAATGCAGTCCACTGTTGACAGATATGTCATTATGTAACACATGACTGTATAGACATAACACTCATGTTTCTCTGTCACAAAGTCCAGATGGAGGATGGAATGATGTTCTCGTTTGCCCCTCCAACTCACTCTCTACCCTTCTCCTAACAGTCCTGTGTCTGGAGAGTCTGGCCGTTTGTTTGTTTGTTTTGAGACCGAGTCTCGATCTATCGCCCAGGCTGGAATGCAGTGGTATGATCTCAGCTCTCTCCAACCTCCGTGTCCCAGGTTCAAGCGATTCTCTTGCCTCAGCTTCTCAAGTAGCTGGGACTACAGGCATGCGGCCATCATGCCCAGCTAATATTTGTATTTTTAGTAGAGATGGGGTTTGGCCACGTTGCCCAAGCTGGTCTTGAACTCCTGGCCTCATGTGATCCGCCCACCTCGGCCTCCCAAAGTGCTGGGATTACAGGCATGAGCCACCGTGCCTGGTTGAGTCTGACCTTTGTAGACCACGTTAAGTGGGCTCCTTTTGCCTCTGATTTTGGGTTGAGTTTGGTCATTGGGAGGCACCAGTGGGGGTCTCAGAGGTCAGATTTCCCCGGCTCCTGTCAGGGGCCCAATCACACAAGTTCCAGTCCTTGCTGGGTTTCTTAACACCTTCCTGCCTCTGTGTTGCCTCCCCTCAGCCCTGCCCATACCTCTTGGCCCCTCCTGGAATCATTTCAGCCCCTAAGCATGCAAGCAGTAACTTGCCAGGACCTGACCAACACTGAGGACCTTTCCTCAGCATCTCACTTGTCCTGTTGGCTGGAAAGAAAGCACAGAAGACTTTCAGGCATTCATAGATACTTGCTGATCCCTAAAGGAAACGGCACCAATGTAACAAACTTGAGAATTTATACATTTTATTTATACTTTTTAAAAGCTTTACAAAGCTCTTGAGTAATGAACCATAAAAGCTCTTTCTAAGGCAATGCTAAGGCTTCCACTAATTTCCTGTCATCCTAGACATGGTACCCAGCACACTTTGAATCTTGCAGGCTGTACTTGATGATACAGGTAAGGTAGTGCAGAACTGTGAACTGGGTTCATTCCTGACCCCACTGGGGTCAAGGGATGACCTTGTCTTACAACCTGCAGAAAAGATTCATAACATTGATGTTTTTAGAGTTGCCAGTGTTCCAGGACTGTTCTGGGCTTGGAGGAAATAAAGGTAAATTTTAAGACAATCCCCATTCCCCAAAATCAGGTGTGGAGGCAATTTGATAGTTAACCAGGAGATCCCACAGGAGAATGAGAGGCTCCTACCATGGCAAGCTGGGTGTCTTTGCATCCCAGAGTGGCCAGCATCACCCAGATAAGAGACGATGCAGGGAGAGCATCTTGGAGGAGAAGGCATTTCAGTGACCACACAAGAGCAACCAGTGATATTAGGGCCAGCCTGGACTTGTGACTCTTTGCTTGTCAGCCTCCATGAAAACCTGAAACATAAAGTTCTCCATGCTCTGCCTCCCAGCAGGAAAGAATCCTCAGGGAGCAGTTTTTCACAGATAAATATGGGGAAAAAAATCATTGTCCCAAAAGAAATTCACACCAAACTAAGGGATGCCAGGCAAGCTGTGGCCCTGGCAGAACTCTTCAACACCCTGCCAGCCCTGCTTCTCTTGCCCACAGGGCCTGGTGCTCCCTTCAGCCCATTCTGCCTGGGGGCACGATTCAGTTAAGCATCTCCTATCAGACAGACTGAGAGAGTGAGAGGCGAAACCCATTTCAACTTGGGCATCAGGTGTGCTATGGAAAGACAGGCTCAGCACAGATTCTGGATGGTAGCTGCAGACTTTTGGTGGGGTTGAGGGGGACAGGCAAGACCTCCCAGAGGACAGATGCTCTGACAGCTGCGGAGAAGCGAACAGCCGGGGTCAGACAGGCAGCAGCGAGGGTCAGAGGCAGGGGCAACGTAGTGTGCAAATCCCACAACAAGAGCAGAGAGACCTCGATTGGAGCCACAAGCTCGAAGCTAAGTGGCCGCGTGATCTTGGAAGAGTTATTTAGTGTCCCTGAGCTTCACTCGCCTCATCCGTAAAACGGAGATAAAAACAGCTACCGATTGGGTTGTGTCAGGATCAAACAAATGAGTGCAAGAAAGTGCCCCTAATAAATCAATGCTTATTAATGTTTCCTGAATGAATAAACAGCACAAGACACTGTTCAGAGTCCTCCTTCTTTGACTTCATCCTCTGTATAATGGGGGACATAATCTTAAAGTGCTTGTTAAGGACATGGAGTAAGTGGCTCTCCAACTCCAGTATGCATCAGAATCACCTGGAGGGGCTTGTTACAACAGAGTGCGGACTCCTCCCCAGTTTCTGATCCAGGATCTCTGGAGTGGAGCCTGAGAATAGTCTGCATCCAGGCGACACTGCTGCTGCCGGCCCAGGGACCATACTTTGAGAACCGCTGCTCTAGCAGAAGCACTTGGAAGAGACTCTATAGTAAAAACTCAACACATGTTAACTGTGATTATTTTGAGAGAGTACGAGGGCGTGCAAATAATCTATTTCCAATTCCTCTCAAGTAGAGAGCACCACTTTTCTTCACTTGGACAAGACAAGGAAAGGCTGCATTCTTCTTTCAGCTACCACCACATGTCCCGAGGCCTTGGAATTTGTTACTCTTTCAGGGTGAGAAAAAATGGAAAGAGATGAGAATGGGTATAGGCTTCTACTGCAAAAAAAATTTCAAAATAATAATAATAATAATAATAATAATAAAAACCCCTGGAAATCCAGAGAGCTGGATGCTGGTTCCAGTTTGTAATGGCAGACAGACCTGACAGCAATAACCTAGGCAATTCCTGAGAATGACCCTATGGTCCAAGAAGGATGTGTGTTTGGAGTTCTGAGCTAAGAATCCCGGGCCAAGCATGGTGCTCACGCCTGTAATCCCAGCACTTTGGGAGGCTGAGGCGGGTGGATCACAGGTCAGACCAGCCTGGCCAACATGGTGAAACCATTTCTACTAAAAAAAATACAAAAATTAGCCAGGCGCAGTGGCGGGCACCTGTAATCCCAGTTACTCGGGAAGCTGAGGCAGGAGAATCACTTGAACCCGGGAGGTGGGGGCTGCAGTGAGCCGAGATCGCACCACTGCACTCTAGCCTGGGTGACAGAGCAAGACTCCATCTCCAAAAAAAAAAAAAGAAAAAGAATCCCACAGTGGCCAATCTGGAGATTCACTCCTTATCTATGAAGGAATCTGAACCCCTGGCCCATTCCCTGGAATGCAGACCGTACAGGGGATCGAGGCCCTTTATTTTTGGTTAAGTGATGGTTGCAGGGTGGAGACTGCTAAGTGAAAACATGATATCAACTGCATGCTTTTTACAAATGGTAGCAGTTCTGCTGTTCAGCCTGCGGTCACTGGTCCACCCCTGTATGTAAGTTCTCCATAAACCCTGTCTCATTCACTGGCTCTGAGTCTCTTCTTCAACCTCTCAGACACGGTGTTGTCCTTACTGGAGTCAAAAGGGGTCCAGTATGACACAGTTGTGCCAGCTAAGTGATTTGGGGCAAATTATCTAACCTCTTGGATCCTCAGCCACTGCCTCTATCAAACAAGGGATTTAGAATTTCTATACAGCATTTTCCTAACATCCAGGTTTTTCCCAAATTCAAGCTGAAGAAGGTGAGACACAGAGTGGTTAAGTAACTTGCCCAAGGTCCGAGGGCTCAGCTAGTCTGTGACAAAGTGACGGGTTGAATTCAGGGTCCTGCTTTTAAGCCCACAGTAATGGCCTCAATAAAACACATATGTACCTATTAACATTTTTAAAACATATGGCAAATGTACCCTCTCAAATCATGTTACAAACCTCCAGGATTTGGGAAACCACTCATCTAAATCTGTCCACTCTAAATGCTGAACCATGGATGCAAAGACAAAGTTATTTCAACTATGCAGAAAACAGAAGTAGATGCACCACCTGGCTTTGTAAGCCAAGCCTTCAGGGCTCAGCGAGGAACAGGTGTGACCACATGGGTTCCAGGGCCTGCTGTGAGAACAAGGAGTCTCTTGGTGTCCCCTCCACGGCAAGGCACATAAATGGATGATGAATGAATGAAGCATCCAGGATTTTCTATCCTGCATATCCCAGTCTGCTTTAGGATTGACTTTCTTGTGCTATAAAGAGCATAGCCACCTGAGAAATCAGAAACCCAAATTTTACACAGAAAACATTAAAGGATGAGACCGATTTTGGGGTGGGTCAAGAGAATTGTAATCAATACAGGGAGATCATATCTGGGGTAGGTGGGTTATCTAACAACACCCCAATACTGATCCATCATGGGGGCCTCTGGAAGACTGGCCTGGTCCAAAAAGTCCACACACATTAGCCAGACAATCACTCAACAATGATCAGTGTAGCGCCATGTTATGGTCATGCTAGATGACTCATCAAGCTTTCTTGTTTTTAGAATGTGCCTTCATTCTAGATTGCTCTGACCCTTCACCTCACCTATCAAACTCTTCCCCACATTTCAAGACGTAACTCCACCTCTTGGGACCTCAGATTCCTCATCTATAAAGAGGAGTAATAAATGTGTCAACTATTTATTTCAGGGTCTTGCTCCGTCACCCAGGCTGGAGTGCAGTGGCACAATCATGGCTCACTGCAGCCTCAAATTCCTGGGCTCAAGCGATCCTCTCACCTCAGCTTCCTAAGTAGCTGGGATTACAGGTGTTCTCCACCATGCCCAGCTAAGTTTTGTATTTTTTTTTTGGAGAGATGGGGTCTCGCTATGTTGCCCAGGCTGGTCTTGAACTCCTGTGCTCAAGTAATCCTTCCACTTCGGCCTCCTAAGGTGCTGGGATTACAGGCATGAGCCACCATGCCCAGCCCCATGTCAACTAACTGTTGGGCAAATTAACTGAGATGACTCGCGTAAAGGGATTAGAGCCTGGTACCTTGTAAGTAATGGGTATGTATCAGCAATCATCAATAATAATAACAATTATAGTTTATTCTAAGCTGAACGTTCTATATCTAAGGTCTGAGCCCCAAATTTCCTCAAATGTCAGCCATCAAGTTCTTTTCTTCTTCTCTCACTCTTTCCTCTACCTTCAAGTAAGGTTAGGATAGTATTTTTCCCATCATTGAAAGGAAGGTCTTCAAGGTGCCCAATTCCCTCTGTTCCATCAAATGCTGACACTGCCTTGTCACCTCTCCCCAGATAACAGGGTAAAAGACACAGGAATGAGGAGGTGAGACACTTGACTCATCATCTGGGCTGTGGCTGCAACTTTGTAACCTGAGGCAAGACCCTTTCATCATTTTTAAAATGAGAGAGTTGCATCTTTATTTGTTGTTGTCATTCTCAGTGGCACAATTTCTAAAATAAGTTTTACAAAAAAGCAGAATATGCAACAAGAGAAGGCTACTCTGAGGCCAGCACAGACAGGGGGCTGGCAGAGATATGGTCCCTTGCCTTGGCCATGGTGTGGTAGCCAGCCTCCAAGACTGTCTCCAAAGATCCCTTCCCCCTGGTTTTCATGCCGTGTAGCCTCTCCTATACTGTGTCAGAGCCGGGCTGTATGACCAATGGAATTCAGCAGAAGTAATGGTATAAGACATCCGAGGCTAGGTTATAAAAGTCGTTGTAGCTTTTTACTTCTTCTGTTTAAACTGCTTACCCTGGGAAAAGCTAGCTGATATGTTATGAGAACACTTGAACAGTCCTAAGGAAATGAGAATTCCAATCATGTCAGTAAACTATATGGTTACAGAGTCTTCAGCCCCAATCAAACCTTCAGATGACTGCAACCCCTGATGTCATCTTAATTGTAATCTCTTTAAAGGTTGAGAGTCATAATCCCCAACCAAGCTGCTCCCAGATTCCTAATTTTCAGAAACTGTATGAGATAATAAATGCTTGACATTTTAAGTTGTTAAGTTTTGAGGGTACCTGGCTATGTAGCAATAAGTAACTAACATATACAGGGAGGGTACCTAAGGTGCCCTGAAAATCACTGCACGTGACAATACCACCAGGTTCCTTCCAGCTATAACATCCCCTAATTTCAGGGCCTGAAATTTAAAGAGGACATTTTTATTTTTGTGGATTTACATCCTTGAAGAAGCCCCAAAGAAGGCCTATGAAGCTAATAAAATGTGTGTCTAAATGCTATGATAGTATCCTCCAACAGCAATGTGGGATATGGAAAGATAGCTGGCAAACGCCTTCACTGCTGGGTTATTATGTAAAGTCCATGAAGATACAATAGAAAAAGTGCATTAAAATACTGTAAGGTTAGTTAGGACCCAGAATATAGGTGAGACGCATCAAGTTTTATAAACATGTTGCCTCCAGCAAAATGCAAACGCCCCACTAAGCTAATAAATACATCCATAGTCTGGAGAATAATTTAAAACATTTCAGCTTCTTTTAGAAGAACAGACAGATCTTTGCCTAAACTCACTGAGGAACGATTACCTCATGGGGCTGCTAAAGCCCCCAAGGTGAAAGATGATCCCCATATAATGACTGGTAACCCTAAAGTCTGCAGAGGTGAGGCCCCTGTGAAGCACACAATAAGGATCTGGGCTCAGCAGCTGATGAGAGTCTGGGTCCCACAAGCTCTAATTCACAGAGCTTCAGTGCAATGGTTCAAAGAACAGGTTCTAGAATCAAACTGCCTAGGTTTAATCCCAAGCTCTACCTCTTTCTGGCTGTGTGACCTTGAAATAATTATAAAACCTTTCCTAGCAGTTTTCTTATCTGTCAAATGAAGGTAAATATGTTGTGTGAATTACATGAGATATTTTATGTAAAGCTCTAGCATGATGTCTGGTACATTTCAAGGACTGATTAACGGTTATTAACTATAATACATTACTACTGAGAAATGAAGTTCAAAGCAAGGAGCAGAAGGAAAAATGAGTACTTCCTTAAGGAGTGGTCTGGCATCAGAGGATAACATTCATTCACTTTCCATAATAACAATATCCATTGTGGCAGTTCTTAAGTACATCCACAAATGCCTAGACGTTCCTCTCATTGAGAGATGGGTATGTGCTGAGTGGGCTTTTGTGACCATTTCAACTAACAGAATCCACTATCAGCAGATGTGACACTGTGTGGCTTCTGAGGCCAGGTCATGAAAAGTGCTTCCTTTCTGCCTTGCTTACGGGAATACTTGTACTTAAAGCCTTTAGCTGCCATGTAAGCAGCTGACTGCCTAGAGCTGCCATGCTGTGAGGAAGCTCAAACTAGCCCATGCAGAGACCACATGAGGACCTGAGTCTAAAAGAAAGGGAGGTTGGGTCAGCACCCACTCTTCCAGCATTGTACTGTTCCAGCTCCAGCCACACACTAATGCCACCTGTATGAGGGACCCCATACCAGAACCACTCAGCTAAGTCCTTCTCAAATCTCTGACCCACAGAAACCATGACAGCTAATAAAATAACTGGTGCTGTTTCAGATTATTTAAGTGTTAGGTGATTTTTCAGGTACCAGTGGAGAAGTTGAATATTCATAATGAGTATATGTGACACTCATGCATAGTTAGCTTCCCCTGCCTCCACCTCATTTCATCCTCACAATTGCACTGGGAAGAACATGTTATTATTTCCATTTTATAATGATGAAATAGACTCCCAAAAGGTAACTGAATTGTCTAAGGTCACAAGACTAATGAGTAGCAAAGGAAAGTCTCCTGTTCAGGAATTCTGATACCAGTTCCAGTGACTGTTTTTTCTTCCGTACAATAGCTGAGTCCCAGAATAGACCTGAACCGGAAAGGCAAGAAAAATACACACATCCATACACACATGTGCATGAGTGAAGATCAAAGGGGATCGTTCTGCTCCAACTTCTGAGGCACACAGAGGCCAGGCCATCACTGAAACAGCACTGCACAGGCAACAGAAATATGCAAGAATAAGACAGGCAGCTATTTGAAAGACACATAATTACCAAATGATAAGAGGGCAAAGGGACTGATGAGGGCCCGTTGTTCCTATCACCAGATAGCTCAGCTGACAGCCTTGGCATATTGATAGAGGAGTTTTCAGAAATGCTTTTCGGAGCCCAGAGAAGTTTCCGCAACACCCACAGATGGTGGCAGCATCTCTGGTTACGTGGCCCTGCACCGTGACAGGATGTCAAGATGAGCTTCAGCACTTGGAACCAAAAAGCGCTGTGATGAAGGGAGTTTCTATTTTGACTCTACTGACTGACATTTCTTGTCTGCCTCTATGGCTTTTTCGTTAAAATCCTTAAAGACACCAAATGAGGGAGTGAGAGGAAGTGCACTGCTCATGGGTAGGAGGCCAGCACCTTGTGGAGAGTGTGCTTTGAAATATGACTGTAGCAGGCCAAGACTTTTAAGTGCATCTATTGGAGGTTCTGAACAGGACCAGGGGTTCCTCATAGAAGAATTCTACCAAAAATAACTTTTTAAGAATCTAAGAAGTTAACATGATCAGTAAACACAAAGAAAGAGAAGAAGAACAAAACCTAATTCTCAAGTGCAAAAGACTAGAAAATAAGTTATACCGAAAGTCAACATGGCAGTTCAGGCAGACACCCAGCTAGCTGCAGGAGTTTTTTTTTCATACACCAGTAGCAGCTGGAATCCCAGTGAGACAGAATCGTTCACTCCCCTGGAAAGGGGGCTGAAGCCAGGGAGCCAAGTGGTCTCACTCAGCTGGTCCCACTCCCACAGAGCCCAGCAAGCTAAGAAACACTGGCTTGAAATTCTCCCCACCAGCACAGCAGTCTGAAGTCTAGCTGGGATGATTGAGCTTGGTGGAGAAAGGGGCGTCCACCATACTGAGGCCTGAGTATGCGGTTTTCCCCTCACAGTGTTAATTGACTGTGCAGAACTCATGACGGCATGGCAAAGCACCTGGGGCCAGACTGTCTCTCTAGATTCCTCCTCACTGGGCAGGACACCTCTGAAAGAAAGGCAGCAGCTCCAGTCAGGGGCTTATAGATAAAACTCCCATCTCCGTGAGACAGAGCACCTGGGGCAAAAGGTGGCTGTGGGCACAGCTTCAGCGGACTTAAACATTCCTGCCTGCTGGCTCTGAAGAGAGCAGCCCATCTCCCAGCACAGCACTCAAGCTCTGCTAAGGGATAGACTCCGCCTCCTCAAGTGGGTCCCTGACTCCTGTGCCTCCTGATTGGGAGACACCTCAAACAGGAGAGCTCCGGCTGGCAACGGGCGGGTGCCCCTCTGGGACAAAGCTTCCAGAGGAAGGAGCAGGCAGCAATCTTTGTTGTTCTGAAGCCTCCGCTGGTGATACCCAGGCAAACAGGGTATGGAGTGGACCTCCACCAAACTCCAGCAGACCTGCAGAAGAGGGGCCTGTTAGAAGGAAAACTAACAAACATAAAGCAATAACATCAACATCAACAAATAGGATGCCCACAAAAAAGGCCATCAGCATCCAAGATCAAAGGTAGATAAATCTACGAAGATGAAGAAAAACCACTGCAAAAATGCTGAAAATAACAAAAACCAGAATGCCTCTTCTCCCCCAAATGATCGCAACTCCTCTCCAGCAAGGGCACAAAACTGGATGGAGAATGAGTTTGACCAATTGACAGAAGTAGGCTTCAGAAGCTGGGTAATAACAAACTCCTCTGAGCTAAAGGAGCATGTTCTAACCCAATGCAAGGAAGTGAAGAACCTTGAAAAAAGGTTACAGGAAATGCTAACTAAAATAACCAGTTTAGAGAAGAAGAACATCAATGACCTGATGGAGCTGAAAAACACAGCACGAGAACTTTGTGAAGCATACACAAGTATCGATAGCCGAATCAATCAAACAGAAGGATATCAGAGATTGAAGATCAACTTAATGAAATAAAGTGTGAAGACAAGATTAAAGGAAAAAAAATGAAAAGTAATGAACAAAGCCTCCAAGAAATATGGGACTATGTGAAAAGAACAAACCTACATTTTATTGGTGTACCTGAAAGTGACCGAGAGAATGGAACCAAGTTGGAAAACACTCTTCAGGATATTATCCAGGAGAACTTCCCCAACCTAGCAAGACAGGCTAACATTCAAATTCAGGAAATACAGAGAACACCACAAAGATAGTCTTCCAGAAAGGCAACCCCAAGACACATAATCGTCAGATTCTCCAGGTTTGAAACAAAGGAAATAATGTTAAGGGCATCCAGAAAGAAAGGTCAGGCTACCTATGGAGGGAAGCCCATCACACTAACAGCAGATCAATATGCTGAAACCCTACAAGCCAGAATAGAATAGGGATCAATATTCAACATTCTTAAAGAAAAGAATTTTCAAACCAGAATTTCATATCCAGCCAAACTGTGTTTCATAAGCAAAGGAGAAATAAAATCCTTTACAGACAAGCAAATCCTCCTGAAGGATTTTGTCACCACTAGGCCTGCCTTATAAGAGCTTCTGAAGGAAGCACTAAATATGGAAAGGAAAAACTAGCACCAGCCACTGCAAAAACATACCAAATTATAAAGATCAATGACATTATGAAGAAACTGCATCAACTAATGTGCAAAATAACCAGCTAGCATCATGATGACAGGATCAAATTCACACATAACAATATTAACCTTAAATGTAAATGGGCTAAATGCCTCAGTTAAAAGACACAGACTGGCAAATTGGATAGAGTCAAGACCCATCAGTGTGCTGTATTCAGGAGACCCATCTCATGTGCAAAGATACACATAAGCTCAAAATAAAGAAATGGAGGAATATTTACCAAGCAAATGGAAAGCAAAAAAAAAAAAAAAAAAAAAAAAAGGCAGGAGATGCAATCCTAGTCTCTGATAAAACACACTTTAAATCAACAAAGACCAAAAGAGACAAAGAAGTGCATTACATAATGGTAAAGGGATCAATGTAACATGAAGAGCTAACTATCCTAAATATATACACACCCAATACTGGAGCACCCAGATTCATTAAGTTCTTAGATATCTACAAAGAGACTTAGACTCCCACACAATAATAGTGGGAGACTTTAATACCCCATTGTCAGTATTAGACAGATCAATGAGCAGAAAATTAACAAGAATATTCAGGACTTGAACTCAGCTCTGGACCAAGTGGACTTAATAAATATCTACGGAACTCCCCACCCCAAATCAACAGAATATACATTCTGCCCAGCACCATAAAGCACTTATTCTAAAATCGACCACATAATTGGAAATAAAACACTCCTCAGCAAATGCAAAGAACAGAAATCATAACAAACAGTCTCTCAGACCACAGTGCAATCAAATTAGAGCTCAGGATTAAGAAACTCACTCAAAACTGCACAACTACATGGAAACTGAACAACATGCTCCTGAATGACTACTGGGTAAATAACAAAATTAAGGCAGAAATAAATAAGTTCTCTGAAACCAATGAGAACAAAGACACAACATACCAGAATCTCTGGAAGACAGCTAAAGCAGTGTTTATAGGGAAATTTATAGCACTAAATGCCCACAACAGAAAGCAGGAAAGATCTAAAATTGACACCCTAACAACTAGAGAAGCAAGAGCAAACAAATTCAAAACCTAGCAGAAGACAAGAAATAACTAAGATCAGAGCAGAAACAAATGGAAAAACATTCCATGCTCATGGATGAAGGAGATAGAGACACAAAAAACCCTTCAAAAAAATCAGTGAATCCAGGAGTTGGTCTTTTGAAAAGATTAACAAAATATATAGGCCACTAGCTAGACTAATAAAGAAGAAAAAGGAGAAGAACAAATAGACACAGTAAAAGATGATAAAGGGGACATCACCACTGATTCCACAGAAATACAAACTACCATCAGAGAATACTGTAAACATCTCTACACAAATAAACTAGGAAATCTAGAAGAAATGGATAAATTCCTGGACATATACATCCTCCCAAGACTAAACCAGGAAGAAATCGAATCCCTGAATAGACCAATAACAAGTTCTGAAATTGAGGCAGTAATTAATAGCCTACCAACCAAAAAAAGCCCAGGACCAGATGGATTCACAGCCAAATCTTACCAGAGGTACAAAGAGGAGCTGGTGCCATTCCTTCTGAAACTATTCCAAAAATAAAAAAAGAGGGATTCCTCCCTAACTCATTTTATGAGGCCAGCATCACCCTAACACCAAAACCTGGCAGAGACACAACAAAAAAAGAAAATTTCAGGCCAATATCCCTGATGAACATCAATGTGAAAATCCTCGGTAAAATACCGGCAAACCGAATCCAGCAGCACATTAAAAAGCTTATCCACCACTATCAAGTTGGATTCATCCCTGGGATGCAAGGCTGGTTCAACACACGCAAATCAATAAATGTAATCCATTACATAAACAGAACCAATGACAAAAACCACATGATTATATCAATAGATGCAGAGAAGGTCTTCGATAAAATTCAACACCTCTTCATGCTAAAAACACTCAATAAACTAGGTTTTGATGGAACAAATCTCAAAATAACAAGAGCTATTTATGACAAACCCACAGCCAATATCATACTGAATGGGCAAAAGCTGGAAGCATTCCCTTTGAAAACTGGCACAAGACAAGGATGCCCTCTCTCATCACTCCTATTTAACATAGTGTTGGAAGTTCTGGCCAGGGCAATCAAGCAAGAGAAAGAATTAAAGGGTATTCAAACAGGAAGTAAGGAAGTGAAATTCTCTCTGTTTGCAGATGACATGATTATATATTTAGAAAACCCCATCTTCTCAGCCCAAAACTCCTTAAGCTGATAAGCAACTTCAGCAAAATCTCAGGATACAAAACCAAGGTGAAAAAATCACAAGCACTCCTATACACCAATAACAGACAAACAGAGAGCCAAATCATGAGTGAACTCCCATTCACAATTGCTACAAAGAACATAAAATACTGAGGAATACAACTTATAAGGGTTATGAAGGACCTCTTCAAGAACTACAAACCACTGCTCAAGGAAATAAGAGAGGACCCAAACAAATGGAAAAACATTCCATGCTCATGGATAGGAAAATCAATATTGTGAAAGTGGCCATACTGCCCGAAGTAATTTATATATTCAATGCTATTCCCATCAAGCTACCATTGACTTTCTTCAAAGAATTAGAAAAAACTACTTTAAATTTCATATGGAACCAAAAAAGAGCCCATCTAGCCAAGACAATCTTAAGCAAAAAGAACAAAGCTGGAGGCATTATGCTACCTGACTTCAAACTATACTACAAGGCTACAGTAACCAAAGCAGCATGGTACTCCTACAAGGCTACAGTAACCAAAACAGCATGGTACTGGTACCAAAACAGATATATAGACCAATGAAACAGAACAGAGGCCGCAGAAATTAACCACACATTTACAACTATCTGATCTTTGACAAACCTGACAAAAACAAGAAATAGGGAAAGGATTTCCTATTTAATAAATGGTGCTGGAAAAACTGGCTAGCCATATGCAGAAAACTGAAACTGGACCCCTTCCTTACACCTTATACAAAAATTAACTCAAGATGGATTAAAGACTTAAACATAAGACCTAAAACCATAAAAACCCTAGAAGAAAACCTAGGCAATACCATTCAGGATATAGTCATGGGCAAAGACTTCATGACTGAAACACCAAAAGCAGTGGCAACAAAAGCCAAAATTGACAAATGGGATCTAATTAAACTAAAGAGCTTCTGCACAGCAAAAGAAACTATCATCAGAGTAAACAGGCAACCTACAGAATGGGAGAAAATTTTTGCAACCTATCCATCTGACAAAGGGCTAATATCCAGAATCTACAAGGAACTTAAACAAATTAACAAGAAAAAACAAATGACCCCATCAAAAAGTGGCGAAGGTATGAAGAGACACTTCTCAAAAGAAGACACTTATACGGCCAACAAACATATGAAGAAAAGCTCAGCATCACTGGTCATCAAAGAAATGCAAATCAAAACCACAATGAGATACCATCTCATGCCAGTTGGAATGGCGATCATTAAAAAGTCAGGAAATAACAGATGCTGGAAAGGATGTGGAGAAATAGGAACGCTTTTACACTGTTGGTGGGGATGTAAATAAGTTCAATCATTGTGGAAGACAATGTGGTGATTCCTCAAGGATCTAGAACCAGAAATACCATTTGACCCAGCAATCTACTGGGTATATACCCAAAGGATTATAAATCATTCTGCCATAAAGACACACACACGTATGTTAACTGCAGTGCTATTCACAATAGCAAAGACTAGGAACCAACCCAAATGCCCATCAATGATAGACTGGATAAAGAAAATGTGGCACATATACACCATGGAATACTATGCGGCCATAAAAAAGAATGAGTTCATGTCCTTTGTGGGGACATGAATGAAGCTGGAAAACAGCATTCTCAGCAAACTAACACAGGAACAGAAAACCAAACACCACATGTTCTCTCTCGTAAGTGGGAGTTGAACAATGAGAAAGCATGGACACAGGGAGGGGAACATCACACACTGGGACCTGTTGAGGGGCGGGGCAAGGGGAGGGAGAGCACTAGGACAAATACCTAATATATGTGGGGCATAAAACCTAGATGATGGTTGATAGGTACTGTAAACCAACCATGGCACATGTATACCTATGTAACAAACCTGCACATTCTGCACATGTACTCCAGAATTTAAAGTTTAAAAAAAAAAAAGTCAACGAGTTCAAGATCTGAATTCCTATATGACTGTTTTATGTTTCAAGGAACACAGGGATAAAGAAAATTCATCAATCCTATGTGCTGCTCCTTAAAGCAGTGGTTTCCTTTTTTTGTTTTGTTTTGTTTTTTTGAGACGGAGTCTCGCTCTATTGCCCAGGCTGGAGTGCAATGGCATGACCTCAGCTCACTGCAACCTCCGCCTCCCAGGTTCAAACGATTCTCCTGCCTCAGCCTCCCAAGTAGCTGGGATTTCAGGCACCCTCCACCACGCCCAGCTATTTTTTTGTATTTTTAGTAGAAACAGGGTTTCACCATGTTGGCCAGGCTGGTCTGAAACTCCTGAACTCAGGTGATCCACCCGCCTTGGCCTGCCAAAGTGCTGGGATTATAGGCGTGAGCCACTGTGTCCAGCCTAAAGCAGTGGTTTCCAAACAATCTCTCCTATCTTAGAATCATCTGGATATATTCTTTTGTTAAATATCTGTATTCTCAGGGGCTACTCCCAGAGATTCTTAGTCAGTAGGTCTGGGGTAGGTCTCATGGATACACATTTTTGATATGTAATTCTAACACACAACCAAGTTTGAGAACCACCCATGTGACAGACATGGTTCACTGTGACCACAGTAACAGAACTCCAGAATGTTCCAGAAAAACATGGCTTCCTTGAGTAAAATCTATCTGTTCCAGGCTCTCTTGGACCTAGGTGGCAGCTAAGGGTATCCCTGTAACTAAGTTGTGTCAATAGGATCTAAAAGGATCTGAAGTGTGAAATTTCCAAGATACGTTCTTTAAGGAAAGTGGTATGTCCCACCTTAACACTTCTTTCCTGCCAGCTGGAATGTGGACAACATAGCTAAAGCTCTGACAATCATTATGGGTCATGAGATGACCTTGGGAATGTCAATCAAGCAGGCTGGGGTGAAAGATAAAGAAATCCCAATACTGCCATCCCTACACTGATGGCCTCCAGACATCTTAAACACAATGAGAAACAAGATGCAAATCTTGCTTAAGCCAGTGTTAGTTGGGATTTTTGATAACCTGCAGTGAAATCTAAGACTGATACAACTAACTACATTAGAATTTCCCTCAAGTTCCAATATCCATTGTCACCACTGAAATAGTAAAAGGCAGGAACTTGATTTTTTTTTTCTTTTGAGACGGAGTTTTGCACTGTCACCCAGGCTGGAGTGCAGTGGCACCATCTCGGCTCACTGCAATCTCCACTTCCTGGGTTTAAACGATTCTCCTGCCTCAGCCTCCCAAGTAGCTGGGACTACAGATGCGCGCCACCACATCCGGCTGATTTTTGCTATTTTTAGTAGAGACGGGGTTTCACCATGTTGGCCGGGATGGTCTCAATCTGTTGACCCTGTGATCCACCCACCTCGGACTCCCAAAGTGCTGGGATTACAGGCATGAGCCACTGTGTCGGGCCCAGAACTTGATTTTAATCCACAGTTTGCAAATGAGGAAACAGCCACAGAAAAGTGATCTTACTTGCTCAAAGCCACATAGCTGTTAAACTAGAAATGGGGCCAGGATTTAGACTCACAACTCCCAGCTTCAAAAGCCAATGGTCTTTGGTCTACACAATTGTACAGGGGACTCCCAAATTACAATGAGTTATTTCTCAGAAGACTGAGCAGGGGAGTGAAACTCTTGGCTAGAGAGATTACAGAAGGAAGAGAAATGTCCCCACAAACACAACTCTTTTTCTCTTTTTTATGCCTTCTTTTCCCCTTTTCCTTTTTTATTTTTCCCCTCCTCGATTCTTATTTGTTCTTTAGGTTCTATGTCATAATAGTGTAAATACGCTTGGAGAAAAAATTTGCTCGTTTTGGGCCATCTCACCTGGGTAGCAGAGTTCCCATCCAAACTAACCCTTTCTAAACCAACACCATGGCTGTGATCTGCTAGCAGAGAACCTGAAAGAAATCAAATATGCCTTCACCAAGGCAAGAACAGAAGATCCCTAAATTAGGGCCCTCCCCAGACCAGCCAAGACCAAAGGAATTTGTTAACGTGGCTGAATGCCCGTTTTCATACATAGAGATATTAAGTAACAGAAGCCACTGACAGTGGTTGTCAAAGACTAAAGGGCACTGGGCCTGGCATACAGTCAGGGCTGAATAAATGTGCAGCATTTATCACGTCCTGACATTTGTATTTATTTATTTGTTTATCATCTCTCCCTCTACCTCTGATGACAGATGTAAGAACCAGAGGGAAAGGGGTTCTGTCTTTTTTGCTGTTGTTCACTGCTGTTTCCCAACACATAAAACAGAATGAGATACAAAACACGAGTGCAATATGTTTGCTGAACGAATGGATAAATAAATGAATGATGATGATGGAGTAGAACCACCTCCTCGCCCAGGTTCTCTGGGCTTGGCTGAAGGACCAACTTGTGACATCCCGAATCCTGCTATAATGGATGTTTGTTTCACATCGTTCCTACTCATATGACACATTCCTCGTTGGACATCCTCTGTCGGATGCTCTCTACCTCTCCACCAATCCACTTTTCAACCAGGCTTGAGAAACCTGAGAAATGCTCCTATCCTCAGGGGCTCTCCTTGTCCTCCTCCCTCACCACTGAACTTCCAAAGAACTTAGTCTACATCACTGAGGAAGCCATTTGTTAGTGACACTGGATAGTCTCATTGGATAGTATCACCAATATTACTAATAATCCCATTCACTAGAATAGAATACTACAGTTTGCAAAGCATTCTCTTTAGGGAGTTTGAAGTCTAACCACTCTTTATTCCAGAAAATGGAATAAAGAAACAGCAGGTCCTATCTATGTTTAACTAAGAATAGTAAAAACTAACCATAATTTTGAAAATGTACTATGTACTAGGCGCTAGTCAAGCCTTTATATGGCCATTCTGTTTAATTCTCACAAATACTCCATGAAGCAGGTATTATTTCCTAAAGTTTACTGATGAGACACCTGGAGTTCACAGAAGTTATGCAACTGGATCAAGGGTACTCTCTGCATAAATCACTAAAGCTGGGATATGAATTCAGTCTCGCCCATCTCTCAAAAGGCCTTCCTATGAATAGGCATGCCCTAATTCATCTCCACCATGAGAACTGGAAACAATGGGGAATGAGTGTATGTGTGTTCACTGCACATAGAAGCGTGGATGCAGGTATTTGAGGAAATAGAGGACAATAAATATCCCACATTTCCAAAGAGCTGCTAAGAAAGAAAGCATACCCTAAAAGGGGAGAAGTGATATTAGGCTATAAAAGTTCAAATTACTTCTTTAGATAAGGAACAAGTCTGTGGTTCTGAATTGGAGAGGCTGTTTATACAGTGAAGTGATAATGAGGTCTAAGAAAACTGCCCAACTGGGCCACAACTCCAGGTGTACCATTCACACTATAGTCTAAGAAGCAGGGGCCTACAGGATGACAGCTAGGTGTAGAAACCCTGCGCATGTCAAAATGAACCACATAGAAACAAGCGGTAGGTTCCATCAGTGAGCTCCTCTTAATATCTGTAGATTACGCCTTCTTATCCCCATTTTCAGATGGGAAAACAGAAGCTCAGAGAGGCTAAATGACTTGTCAGACCATTGAGCAAAGTTAGCGAGCAAGCCAGACTTACACACCCGGGCTAGAATCAAGAATGCCAGCTCTTGGCATCTGGCTGTGTTTCCAGGAGGCATTTGCAAGGGGTGAGGGCAATCGGGACTTTGGACAACTTCCTCCCCAGGCTCCAGATGCCCTTTACCTCGCATTTCTCCACGACCGGCTGCTGCCCACACTCGGAGCTGTTGCCTGCCACGATGCCAGCCCGAAGGTTCTCGCTGTCTCCAGTGCCCTCCTCCATGGAGTAGGTCTTGGAGTGGTTGCCTCGGCGATGGGATGGGGCTCGGCCCTGGGCCAGGCTGAGCTGCCTGCGGAGGGCGCGGTTCTCCTCCTCCACCTCGCGCATGCGCACCTCCAGGCTCTCGCGCTCCCGCTGGCTGGAGGCCGTGTACCTGGGGCTGTGTGCCTGGGACTCCAGCGGTGACAGAGACACGGGCTTTCCATCTGGGGAGCGAAACACCAGGGAAGCTTTAATCTGGATGAACCATGCCTCAAGCCCCTCCAAGTTCCCCAGACATCCCTTACTACATGGCGAGGCTCCTTGCACAATCCCATGTTTAAGGAAAACAGATGGAAAGTGAGTTACAAATAAACGCATCCAGATTGAACTGGGAACAAAGTTGAGAACAGAACAACTTATTATGGTGATAAAAGCTAATATGCCTTTTAGAGAAGGCAATCATAATAAAATTGTTTCTAATTAAATGCACTGTCTTCCTCTCCCTACTTGGCATGTTTCTAAGTAGGCTTCTTAACAATAAAGAATTATGAATACAAAGTGGGCGGATTGGGGAGAAAGACAAGGGAGGGGAGAAGGAGTACCAGGAAGTGGAGGGGAGCAAGAGGAAGAGAACGAGTAATAAGGAAAAAATAATAGGCCAGGCGCAGTGGCTCACGCCTGTGATCCCAGCACTTTGGGAGGCCAAGACGGGCGGATCACGAGGTCAGGAGATTGAGATTATCCTGGCTAACCGGTGAAACCCGGTCTCTACTAAAAATACAAAAAAAAAAAAAAAAATTAGCCGGGCTTGGTGGCACACACCTGTAGTCCCAGCTACTTGGGAGGCTGAGGCAGGATAATGGCAAGAACCCGGGAGGCGGAGCTTGCAGTGAGCCGAGATCGCACCACTGCACTCCAGCCTGGGCCAGAGTGAGACTCCGTCTCAAAAAAAAAAAAAAAAAAAAAGAAAAAAGATAATAATAATGACTAAGTTTATTGAGCTCTTCCTATGCAAACTCCTATACATCTTTCAAAATCCTGTTTTAAAAGCATCACCTCTCAGGGGAAACCTTCTTCCATTTGCAGGCAAGATATCCTTCCACATATTCCGAAATAATTTGTATGTAGCGCTATGAAAACATGTATCTGCCATACTGTATTTGGTAAACAGCTTTACTAAATGTTGCCTATGAAGACTGGGAGTTCAATGTAGGCAAAGGCGGGTCTTACCTGTCTTTGTGGTTAACATGTCACAAGGTCTGAGAAATGCTGGAAGACTGGATGCATGGCTCCATGCCAAGAATAAAATATTAAAAGCAACAAGGAAAAAAGAAGTAGAAGCATGACCCATCTCATGGTTTTCCCAGAAAAACAGTTAACCATTAAAGTGAGTGCCAGCAACACTCCATGTAACAATCATACAACCCTGCAATAAAAACTGAGGCACGGCCGCGTGTGGTGGCTCATGCCTGTAATCCCAGCATTTTGGGAGGCCAAGGCGGGCAAATCACGAGGTCAGGAGATCGAGACCATCCTGGCCAAGCTAGTGAAACCCCGTCTCTACTAAAATACAAAAAGTTAGCCAGGCATGGTGGCACGCACCTGTATACAGTCCCAGCTACTCGTGAGGTTGAGGCAGGGGAATTGCTTGAACCCTGGAGGCAGGGGTTGCAGTAAGCCGAGATTGCACCACTGCATTCCAGCCTGGCGACAGAGCAAGACTCTGTCTCAAAACAAAAAACAAAAACAAAAACAACACAAAAAACTGAGGCACAGAGACGATAAGCAGGTCTCTCAATGTGATGCCACCACAATGGTGATGTCAGAATTCGCACCCAGGTCTCTCTGATATCTGGGCCTGTACACTCTCCACTTCAATAAACTTTCATTATAGGCTATTCAGAGAGCTAACATTAAAAAAAAACAAACACTTATTAGTATAAAAACCCCATCTCCCAAGGATACTTATATCACCTTGTATAAAGTAGGCGCTCAAGGCATGCTTACTGTTCAGGAGCCCCAGTGGCACAAGGCATACCCAAAGCTATCACTTATTTCTGTTTCCACTCTGCAGAAATCCTGGGCTCCAGCTACATTTACAGCCACCTCAGGGGTTACCAAGCAAAAAAAGCATATCTCTAGAAAATCGTCCTCTCTCAGCTGCCTGTCAAAAAAACATTCCTCTTTTTCCATACTTCAAGTTTTTCCTTCCTGCCCAGACCCCTGAGCTTCAAAACTGTCCCAGAGAGTCTCTGTGACTCACAAACTTGAGGATCAAAGAATGTGATGAATTACACCCTGCAGGTCTCACTTGTGCTTGTGTCGGCCTCTGCCCAGGGCTTTTTGATGTATCTTTGGGCCTTAACAAATATGACTCATTTTTTTTCCTCTTAATCACCTCAGGGTTAAACGCCTAAGTGCCTGGTCTTCTCCTATCAATGCAACAAATATGACTCAATGAATTGCACTGCCTGGGACCACAAATCAAAGGCCGATGCAGAATTGGTAGGGGACGTGAAATCACAGGTTGATTAGGGTTGCATTGTCACCGACTGGCCAATTACAAGCTTCAACCCAAGCTTTTGAAACCTGTCTCCCTGTTTGGTACAACTGAGAATGAAAAAGAATAGGCAGCTATTAATAATTGCGTTTTCTCAACCAACATCGACCCTTTGAGCAGGGGTGGGTAAAGATGAACCTCTGGCTTCCTCGGGAGTTACACCTTCTGTAGTGTCTATCATGGATCTGCACCACGCTAGGTGGTTCATGCTGATAATGCCTTAGGTTGCTATCAGTACAATTAAGTAGTAATAGTTATCCCTATTACTGATGCAGAAACCAAGACTAAAGTTTAAACTGTGTTCCTATTATGTTGCAGTTTGACTGTAAACAAGGTCTCCTGGACTTTGAGCTCAGCTATGCTCCTGCATATATGTGCTAAGTTAGAGGTAAAGACGCTCAGGAGACTGAGAGGGTCTTCCTTCTCAGGAAAGGATTTTGGAGCATTTGGGCAGAAATGCAGGAAGCTCAACAGGGTCTCAGGGTCTCTAGAAAATTAACAAATGGGACCTGTGAGTTTCCTCTTTGGAGGAGTTACATCAGTGCTCTGAGCTTCGATTTTTTCTTCTGTGAAATGGGAACATAAAATGTTCCAGTAAGAGTGATGGGAGGCTTAAGCAAAATAACAAAATACAGAGCATGGTGTCCCTTATTGGGAGGCGCTTGGCATCAGTGAGTTCCTGTGACCCTTTCTCAGTGAGGGAAGGTGATGTCATGGGTAAGATGAGTTGATGATGTAATTTAAGGTGTAAAGCACGCTGTATTTTCAGAACACAGAGTTGTTCTGTGTGTTGTATGGGGGAACAAGCAGTCAACAGACCTTGGCTTCCTTTGAGATATACTCCAAGAGGAGGCACTGCTGAGCTTCCTGCCTTCATCCTTAGCCGGGGTCATGGTTAATCCGTAAGAACATGGAGGAGCAAGCAAGCAGGCTTCACCAAAGAGGCCGGGTCACATTCTCTAGCCCCTCTCCTGAAAGTCCCATATTTTAAACATTTACGTAAATTATGATTGTCTGATTGTGGGCTTAAGAGAAATGCTATCGACATCCTGTGTCCATTTCTCCCCTGCTTTAGACCCCAAATGGTTTTAACCAAATTTAACTCTCAAAGACGTGCGGGGGTTTTCCCACTTTTAAAAGCCCTATAGATTTGTCACCAATGAAGCCACAACTAAATAATTAATGTCAGGTCTCAGAGGAATCAATGTTGAAAAAAGCAACATTCATGCTGTGCCCAACTGCTGGCATGGAGGAAGTGCTCAATTAATGGCAGAATTGTCCTTTCCGGTTTGTTGGTTTGTTTTAAAGGTCCATTATCTTGAGCCGGCCCCTTCCTTTTCCTCAAGCCAGTTTTGCCTTCTGAAAGGCGGGGCCCTGGAGATGTGCTCCGAGTCCCCTCTCAGCTCTAACTCTCCGTAGCTGTGTGGTCCAGATGATCCCAACACCGCATGATCAGAAGTGAATAGTGGGCCCTGCTGCCTTGCCAGATTCACAGCTCATTCTCGTTTTATTCATCCTGACTTTTGCTTTTATTCCTGACTATTCCTTTTTCTGGCTCCTGATCTCTTTGCTCAGGCTTCTCCTGACTCTCTGGGAGCACAAGCAGGAGAGAGGGTCAGGGTAGTGAACAGCCAGCCTCCTTACGTTTCTCTGTTACGTTTTACAGGCACTGGTCCCTCCCAGGAACGCTCCTCAAGCTTTGTGTATAGGTCGTAGTTATACAGCCCATTACATACGATTTTATGGCTATGTAAACAACTGTGCCCACACTGATATTTCTCAAACTACCAGTGGTGAAGACAGCAAGAGAGGCATGGAAGCACAAGGAGCTTGGGTGAAGAACCAGTTTTTCTCCCTCCCCCAGTCCATCCTGGATAAAAATTTGCCCCTAACACTCAAAGGTAAAACAGAGCTTGGCCCACGTGTAACTCATCACTGGAATTAAACAAACTGGTCTACACTACGTTAATCAAGACTATTGATCATACACTTGATGCTGGCCACAAAGTCCATTTGCTCTAGATGTTTCTAAAATGCTTAGTCTCAAGTTCCATATGTATCTTGTTGCAGAGCAGCAACAATTTGAGGATATGGTTAATTTTATGTGTCAACTCAACTGGGCCAGGTGGTACCCAAATATGTGATCAAACATCATTTTGGGTGTTTTTTTTTAAAGGTGTTTTTGGATGAGGTTAACATTTAAATTGGTAGACAGAGTAAAGCAGGTGTCCTCCCCTGGTGTGGGTTGGCTACCTCCCATTAGTTGAAGGCATGAGTAGAACAAAAATGCTGACCATCTTCCACATTCAAGAGAACTCATCTTGCCTGACAGCCATTGAATTGGGACATCATCTTTTTCTTGCCTTCAAACTCAAACTGAATCACCAGATCTTCCTGGGTCTCGAGCCTGTTGGAATTTGGACTGGAACTACACCATGAGATCTCCTGGTTCTCAGGCTTTCGGACTCAGACTAGAACTACACATCGGCTCTCCTGGGTCTCCAGCTTGCTGACTCAACCTGAAGATCTTGGAACTTGTCAGCTTCCATAATCATGCAAGCCAATTCCTTACAATAAACATAGCTGTATATGCACACTCTATTGGTTCTGCTTCTCTAAAGAGCCCTGACAAATAGAAGGACGAACAACGGCCTGCAGATCACACCTTGAGTGGCACCGCCCAATCTCCAGTCTCCATCCCCAGGTCCTGGCATGCTCCCTATACTTAGCAAGCATTTGAGGAAGAGAGAAAGAGAAGAACTAACAACTATAACTTTTTGTTAAAAAAAGGCATAAAATGCCTAGCACATCATAAACTACTAGTTATTTAAAAAGACATCTCATTATAATATTAGATGCTGGGGAAGAGGGAGAGAGAACTGAGAAAAGCAAACAAATCAAGTAGATAAGTAAGAGCATGGGATTTGGAGTAAGAAAGAGCTGAGCTTAAATTATGGTTCTTCCACTTACTAATAAATAACTTAGGCAAAATACTTAACTTTTCTGTGACTCAGTGTCTTATGTAAAATGAGGGACATGGGAGCATAAGCATGAGTGTGTGTGTGTGTGTGTGTGTGTGTACACACACAAATATTACTTCATATCAGGCTTACACAGAGTAGATACTTGTATTAGTCAATTTTCACGCTGCTGATAAAGACATAGCCGAGACTGGGTAATTTATAACAAACAAGAGGTTTAATGGACTCACAGTTCCTCATGGTTTGGGAGGCCTCACAATTATGGTGAAAGGTGAGGGAAGAACAAAGGCACATCTTACATGGTGGCAGGCAAAAAGAGAATGAGAGTGAAGCGAAAGGGGTTTCCCTTATAAAACCATTGGATCTTGTGAGACTTATTCACTACCATGAGAACAGTATGAGGGAACCGCCCCCATGATTCAATTATCTCCCACTGCATCCCTCCCACAACACATGGGAATTATGGGGGCTACAATTCAAGATGAGATTTGGGTGGGGACACAGCCAAACCGTATCAATACTCAAATTCTCTGCTGTTCTCCCAGCCCAAGCCCACTAAAGCTGCAGGCAGGGCACATAAAGGCAGAAGTGGATAGAATCCCCTGCGTGTAAGTGCCTTTACCTTTGTTTCTCTATTACCTTTCCTTCCAGGTTTCTACTCTTTAGATATACACAGTCTATGTATGAACATGATGTATCGTTCTATCATGCAATACGTGTGTGTGTTGATCTGCGGTTCAGCCCACTTTCAGCTTAAAATGTCAAACAAGACATTATTCAAAAACTAAGCTGACAACATCATCCTCCTCCCTGCAAAACTTCTCAACAAACATGAATTTATCATCGACTCTGAATCTCTGAATCCACTTGAGATGAATGTTCTGAATTAAGAATCAAAACATCTAAGATTCAGAACAAAGAAGGTAAATTGAAAATCAACCTCCGTGCAGTGCAGTGACAGAGATTAGGGACTTACCATCCAAAATGTCCTAAGTGATGATCTCAATCAATCTGAATGTGCTGAGTATCTCTGGATCTCTCCAGAGTGCTGGCATCTGGTACTGCATGTGGGATCCACCACTTTGAAATGAATAGGACTGGGACTCATTAATGCAGGCAGGGCCAGGGTCTGGATGGGCCTCCCATGAAGGGGGCTCAGACCCTTTCAGGGGTGACAGACCCAGATCTCTCTAGTCTAGGAAAGCAAACTCTTGCACTTAGTGCCAGATTTCAGGAAAGCTGTCCGGTTGCATCATCCTGCCCGTGATAAAGACACTACATCCCTAACCTTTATATGGCAAAATCTCCCTACGTACAATCTGTCACTAAAGCCTGCCAATTCTTTCTTCCTGATGTTTGAAGCACTTGCTCTTCCCATTTGATTTCAAACATCTCATCCGAAGCCAAGCCTCTTAATCTTATCCTAAAACAGGGGTCATCAAACTTTTTCTGTAAACATCCAGAGAGTCAATGTGCTTTACTTCGCAGGCTATGCTATCTCTGCTTCAAGCACTTGACTGCCATTGTAGCATAAAAGCGGCCATAGAAATACATAACAAATGGCTGTGGCTGTGTTCCAGTCAAATTTTATTTCCAAACACAAGCAGAGGGCCAGATCAGGCATACTTTTTGGCCATAGATTATGGATCCTGTCCTAGAACATTGTGTGGGTCTCCTGGGCTAGTCCCCCTGCCTCTGATTTCTCCCTGTTCCTGTCAGCTCACTCGCAGGTGCCACGGATAACATTCTTCAATCCTATTTCCACCACGTTTGCAGTCTGATAATGCACAAAAACAACTCTATCTACTTCAAGGTCATCCATCAAATTCAACAAACACTTGGTCAGTTCCCCCTGAGTACATGTCCTTGGGTGCTGTGTCTGCATCGTCTCATTTTAATTTATGCAACGCTGTCATGAAGTGGGTATTCTCACTATTTCCATTTGACTAATGAAAAAAAAAAAAGAGAAACAGGCACATGATTTAACTAGTTCCATGTCATCCCAGCAACAATGGCAGAGGGAGAGTCTTGAACCCAGGTTCACTGGCTCCAGATAAATGGCTCTTTCCGCACCGAACCGGAATGTCTCCTATTCAACACCCTCCGAACAAGTCCAGCCTAATTTGTGGTTGCGGTTGTTGTTTCTGCTTCATTCCCTGGTCCCTCAGGCCAGTGGTCCTCAATCTGGGCTTCCATTAAAAAACTTAGGAAACAATATGAATGTGCACAGGTCCCAACCTAGATGAATTCATATAGCATCTCTGGAGGTGGGGGTCTAGTTATCAGCATTTAAAAAAAAATTTTAATTTAATTTTACGGTCCGGGATACATGTGCAGGACATGCAGGTTTGTTACATGGTAAACATGTGCCACAGTGGTTTGCTGCACAGATCAACCCATCACTTAGCTATTAAGCCCAGCATCCATTAGCTACTCTTACTGATGCTCTCCCTCCCCTGCCAACTCCCCAACAGGCCCCAGTGTGTGTTGTTCCCCTACTTGTGTCCATGTGCTCATTGTTCAGCTTCCACTTATGAGTGAGAACATGCGATTTTTGGTTTTCTTTTCCTGTGTTACTCTGCTGAGGATAATGGCTTCCAGCTTCATCCATGTTCATGCAAAGGACATTGTCTCATTCCTTTTTATGGCTGCATAGTATTCCATGGTGTATATGTACCATATTTTCTTTATTGAATCTATCACTGATGGGCATCTGGGTTGATTCCAGTCTTTGCTATTGGGAATAGTGCTGCAATAAACATATGTGTGCATGTATCTTTGTAACAGAATGATTTATATTCCTTTGGGTTTTCAGCATTTTTAAAAACAGCCACTCCCATGGGATTCTCATGTGTAATGAAGGTTGAGAAATGCTGGCTGAGGCATTTCCCCAGACTCTCTAGATTCAAAGGAAGTCTTAGCATTGCCACACTTAATTATAGTATTGCTCTGACCCTGCACTCCATTTCCCTTACACAAGCCTCTACTGTATTCTCTCAGCAGCTTCCATCATGTGACCCAGACCCACATGATTTCCTGGTATTGTAGCTCCTCCAAGCATAGGGCCTGCTTTGCTCCTCGGCATCGCCCTGCTTCCTGGAAGACAGTCTCCTTCAAAAGCAGTTCCCTTCTAGCCCAGCTGCCTGACTATCCAGCTTCTCCGGTTTCTGGTTCCTTTCTCTTGACCAATCACAGGTCACCTTATTCCAATATATGTTTCAATTTTTCATTCTCCATATGAGACTATATTCATTTAGCAATTTGTAATTTTTGTTAGAAAATGCCCTCCTTTTAATTAACATAAAGATTTCACACCCTCATTCAATGCCAAATATCTAATATCATTTGATATTTCAAAGTAAATTAAATATTGCAGCCAAAGTCATTTTAGAAAAATTTAGAAAACTCAGTTTGATCTTAAAAGTTAATTTTGATCATGAGATGTCCACAGGAGAGCTGAGTCTGCCAACGTGTCATCAGCTTTTCTTTTCTAGGCAGTTTATAAGTCACAGCAAGACACAGGTCCAGGCTGAGCCATTTTCTTAAGTTTCAAAAGCATGGAATCAGATTTGCTGTGGGAAGGAAAATGGCAATGATGACACACAAAGGCTGCTCGCTTTTTATGAGGTACACAGGGAATGTTTTGCCCCAAAATTCCCCTAAGTGATTTTCTGGAAGTTATCTTTGGCAACCAAAGCACACTTGAGTTCCAGCAAAGGCCCTGGAGACAGATCTTCTGACAAAGATGGAAGAACAGTTAAAAAAAAAAAAAAAAAAAGGAGAGTTCCTCACTAGCTTCTAAAAAGAATTTGCAACTACAGTGCCAGGGAAAGAGGCCTGGATTCACTGCACCATAATAGGCTGAATGAGATCTGACTTTTGTCTTCCATAAAATCATTTCCAAGAACGTTAGCTTAAAGAGCTTCATTAAGTCAAGAAAATGAAGACATTTTTAGCACCAATTTGCTGTACCTATACCTGGGTTTAGACTACAAATGCTTGAAGTGTGTTCTAACGAGCAATGATACCAGTTTTTGTCTTTTGAAACTTCAGGTTCAATGATTTCAAAGCTTCAAATGTTTTGTTGTGTGTGTGTGTGTGTGTGTTTTTTTTTTTTTTTTTTGCCAAATATGCTAAGTTTTGAAAGTTGGAGGCAGTTGGTCTTTGAACTGCTGTTACCATGGTGGGGCAACCATGTCTTCCTGCTTCTATAACTGGCCCGTCATATACTCAAGGAGTCTGAGTATGGACAAAAGGGCTTTGTTAGTAGCATTCAAATCGTCACCAACCAAGGCCAAAAAAGATAATGTATTTAGTGCTCTGTTTCCTAGAAAAATGGAAGGACTTGACAGCAGAGTGAAGGTCTTCTCTTAGATCACCAGGTGGTTTAGAAAACCGTCATTGGAGGGTAATGATAACAGTGTATACTAGAAAAGGTGAATAGATATTCACCGCAAATCCTGACAATTGATCTGTGTGTGAGAGCACAATAAATTCACATTCCAGTCATCTTTGAAGAGCCTCTGCCCCCAGTTAGCCCCTAAACTTCAATCACTTTTACACAGCCTTGAAGGCATCACCAGCGTTAGTGACGGTCTCCAATGGTTGAGTCTGAGAAAGCATCCTTTCTCCTTCCCCAGTTTCTTGAGTCCTATTTCATACATATGCAATAGTTGGACACAATCCCCTTTGTTGGTAGATTCATCAAAACTAAAAGCTAAACAACCATAACGATTTTATCCTTTGCAAAGCATCAACTGAGTGTCCTCAATGTGGCTATTTACTATAAAATCAAATGCAGAAATACTATAGAATTTCTTAATTTTCTCTTTAGCAGCACTCAAGATGAAAGATTTCATAAGTGTTTTTTCCACTGATTTAATTTTTTAAAACCTTTGCAATAAATGTGTTATTTGATATGAAATATTCATAGCCCTTATAAAATCCCACTAAAATGTTCCAAGAGTGAGGCGAATCACACGTGCTAAGAATCATATTTTACAGTAAAAATTTTTAATGAGGTTTGATTTTTTTTTTTGTAGCTAAAATCTTGTTCAAATCAGAAGACCCACATGGGATGATTTTTTAGCAAAGATTTTCAATTTTATTTTGCATTCATCATACTGAGTATGTTGAAAACTATCCTTTTCTCACTTTGTGAATCTATACTTGCTGTAAGCCTCAAACTGTCATTCTGGTTGGCCATATTTATTACCAAAAAAGGTTCTATGATTTTTTTTTTTTTTTTGAGCCAGGGTCTCGCTCTGTTGCCCAGGCTGGAGTACAGGGGCTCAGTCTTGGCTCACTGCGACCTCCACCTCCCAGGTTCAAGCGATTCCCTTGCCTCAGCCTCCCAAGTAGCTGGGATTACAGGCGCGCCACCATGCTTGGCTAATTTTTGCATTTTTAGTAGAGACGGGGTTTCACCATGTTGGCCAGCCTGTTCCTCGAACTCCTGACCTCAAGTGATCCATCTGCCTCAGCCTCCCAAAGTGCTGGGATTACAGATGTGAGCTTCCGCACCTGGCATTTCTGTGATTTTTTTTTTTTAAATGAGGAGCACTGACAATAATGTCTGGTTTGGGTTACAGAGGATGAAAGATTTCAATGGCAAACAGCAGCTATTTGAGGATGCCAGACAAATCAGCAAAGCCCTGACCCCATTCATTCCTGCTCCTTGGGCTTCTGTGCCCCTCCTGCTTCACTTGAGAGGAGAAATATCCAAGTGAAATTCAGATCTACAGAGAAGAGTTAGGGACTCTCATCAAAAAGGATCCAACAGAATGATGACCGTACATCATGAGTGTGTCTTTAATTGGACTGCATCAGAATTGAACTATGGTGTTCTGCTGTCCTCGGGAGGGAGGGGGACTACCAGATAACCCACTCAGACTTTGATATCCTTCTCTGTATTTGGAAGACAGTTGTTCCATGAATGTCTTGGGACTGTAAGAAGAAAACTGAATGTGAAACATGACTAAAAATCTAGAGCAGGGGTGTCCAATCTTTTGGCTTCCCTGGGCCACACTGGAAGAAGAATTGTCTTGGGCCACACATAAAAAACACTAACACTAAGGACAGCTTAGGAGCCAAAAAAAAAAAAAAAAAAAAAAAGGAAAAGAATCTCATAGTGTTTTCAAAGTGGCCAAATTTGTGTTGGGCCACATTCAAAGCTGTCCACAGGTTGGATAAGCCTGGTCCAGAGAGTGTTCTTTAGGCTATGCGTCAGGTAGAATGGTCAGTTTGCCTATCTGACCACTGCCCTTGAAATGGTGCACCTGCCAAACCTGAGCAAAAGTTCTCTTCCCTTATACTGCATGTAAGCAAGATCAACATGGGAGGAAAGGCCCTGCCCCATCTTTTCAGGAGCCCCAGCATCAGTGAGGATGGACTTGACTTGCACCATATTCTCGGGGCCCTCTGACATACCCCATCTCCTCTACAGTCAACTGGCTTTGAGACAAATCACCGCCCTTCATCCAAACTCCCCACCCCTTGCCTAGCCTTCTATGGAGACCACCTGCTATGCAAGCCACACTTCACCAGAAGTGTCCAACTCTGGCCTGCAGTGTTCACTCTTCGATAGTGGAACCAGATGAGAGACAGAAATGATGGGGCTGGTAAAAAGAGGAATAGAAAGAGCTAGTTATCAAAGATAAGGGGGACTCTGTACTTGTTAAAGTTAGCAGTGGCAACATAGCCATCCAACGGCATGAGTAGCTGCCATCCAGAATATTCTAACCCATTCCAAAAAAAAAAATGGAAGCAAGTACTTTTGTGAATGTCATTGATTCCTTCAATGGCATCCCCCTGCTGTAAAATGCCACTTCACCTAAATCAGTGTTATCTTCCTCAGCTCCATTGTAAATTAAAAACAAGAGAAAACAAGCAAAAGCCTGGCTGGACATTCCTTTGCCTGTAAGTGACTGTCCTCCTTTTTCCTATCTTCTTTTCCTTCTTCACAGTAGTGTCCAACCACCCTTTATCAGTTTGACTTACATTAAAGTTATATTCCAATTCCAACAAGTATCTATATTAGAAAAAGAAATAAGAGGAGGAAAATGAAAAAAAAAATCACCTCTTTTTTCACCCTTTCCTGACAAATCCAAACCATCCCTTAGGAGAAAATCAGAATGAGGAATGAGGTTTTATCGAAACCGATCAGGGAGAGAGGGGAATAGAAGATTTCATCAGGAGTTCAGCTTGACAGAAATAACGCTTTATTGGGATGGGCACTTGGCAAAGATAACATGTTACCAAGAGCAAGATAGATGTTTGGGTAAAATCTTGTGTTAATACTTATTAAGGTCAAAACCCGCCATCTCTACTTTTGACGGACGGGTATTTTCTTCCAAGTCCTACACCGGAGAGTTTTTATAAGGTGCTTCCAGCAGTCTTATAAAAGTAAGAAGAATAAAACTAAGAACCCTCAACTCAATACCACTATAAGGCAAAGTCAGGATTTTCCTCTGCAAGCTGAGAGGAATGATGCGCTTGAGTGCAGGAAGTAACAGGTGCAGAGGACCAAGGGGAAGCCTATGATGGTGAAGCCTCCAGTACAGGATCCCAATTTCTGACCCCAAAAAGAAAAGCCCCTTGCAGGACAGAGGCCCACCTGAGGGACTGATCTCAGAGACAGTGTCAGGATGGGGATGACGCGGCTGATTGGCCAAGAGGATATCCTGGTTCAAGCCTTGCTAAACTTTCTGAAATTGCTGGTGAAATCTACTGCACTTTATACTTCCATCTTTTGGCTCTGAAGAGTCCTCAGTGGACCAACGATCTTCACCAACAAGGATTTCAGGAGCCCCTACATATACAAGCCCTGTGCCAAGTTCCTGAATGCAGGGCTGGCAGTTGGAATAAGCATTAAAAATGTTGTATTATTTCCTTTGCATGTTTTGTCATTTGGTGAATTACCATGGACCCTCCAACACCTGGCTCAATAATTTCTTCTAGGAACCCTTCTCCAATCTGCCCAGGGTGAGTTGGCTCCTTCTCTTCTTTCACCATCCTTGGATTTCCTACTACCTTCCACAACGTAGATAAGGTAGTGGCTCTCACCCCATGTGTAACAGCTCTTTATGCCACCTCCATTGTCTCAACACGTCAACTGAACACCTGTTCAGGGCAGGAGCCAGGCTGAATCACCTGTGCTTCCCAGTGCCTGGCACAACGTGTATACACCGTGGCCATTCCTACACAGCCACAACACTGTGGAAGGAGATGATGACTTAGGAGTCCTTTCATGTCCCCACATCCAAACCACAGCCTTGGATTTCCACCTCCAAAACCTTCTGCTTCTTTTCTCAGCAAATGTCATCACTTTTGCTCCCCACTGCACAGGCCAAAAATCTAGGACTCACTCCTGAATTTCTTCCCTCATGTCCCACATGTATGTCATTAGCAATGTATTGCAATGTTGGTTTGATCTTAAAATATACCCTGGATACAAACACTTCCCCACAACCCCCACCACTATGACCCCAGTTCTGGGACCTTTTACCTGGACTCACTCAATAGCCACCTAACAGGCCACTCTGCCTCACTCATTCTACTTGTCACTCACAGCCAGATGGCCTTTAAAAATGGCTATCAGGGCCGGGCACAGTGGCTCATGCCTGTGATCCCAGCACTTTGGGAGGCCAGTGTGGGCGGATCACAAGGTCAAGAGATCAAGACCATCCTGGCCAACATGGTGAAACCCCGTCTCTACTAAAATACAGAAATTAGCTAGGTATGGTGGCACATGCCTATAGTCTCAGCTACTCGGGAGGCTGCGGCAGAAGAAACGCTTGAACCCAAGAGGCGGAGGGTGAGCCAAGACTGCGCCACTGCACTCCAGCCCGGTGACAGAGCGAGACTCCATCTTAAAAAAACAACAACAACAGCAACAACAACAAAAAAACTGGTTATCAGACCACATGTCTATCCTGTTCGAACCCAGGGCTTTGAACCTGCCTTCCCATCAACCACAGTTATCTTTCCGACCTCAAAATGCTCCTCTGCTCCCTGGGCACCAGCCATGCCGGCCTGGCATATGCTCCTGGGATACATAGCAAGCACTCTCCCACTCAGGGCTTCTACACTTGCTGTTGCCTCTTCCCTCGTTCATTAGGAATCTGCTTAAATATAATACCATTCTTCAGAGCAGCATCTGTAAGCCAACCTTTAAAACCCCATCTCTGCCCATCCTGAGGCCACAGTGTTTCTTTCACTCTGTCCCCTGGTTTATTCTTCTCCACTCCACAAATCACAACACTCTCCTCAAGTATAAACGTATCTGTTTCCTTTTTATTTGCCTGTCTCCACCTCATGAACACAAGTTCAATGGTAGCAGAGTCTTCTGTGGATCTGTTTCAACAACAGTATCTCCAGGGTCTGGAACCAAGCACACAGTAAGCACTCAAAAGACACATCTTGATACTAAATCAAGAACGCAGGTGAATACAAGCAACTTTTGCAACAGTTCAGTGATGAGAATCGGATTTCAAATGAGGATCAAGATTAGGGCTCCCTTACTGACCAGCCACTTTGGCGGGATGAATGTCATACATTATCTTATATAGTGATTTCAGTTCTCTGAAACGGGTTTATTGTCCCCATTTTAAAGAAGCAGAAACAGGGCTGCGCGCGGTGGCTCATACCTGTAATTCCAGCACTTTGGGAGGCTGAGGCAGGCGGATCATGAAGTCAGGAGATGGAGACCATCCTGGCTAACACGGCGAAATCTCATCTCTACTAAAAATACAAAAACTTAGCCGGGCATGGTGGTGGGCGCCTGTAGTCCCAGCTACTCAGGAGGCTGAGGCAGGAGAATGGTGTGAACCCAGGAGGCGGAGCTTGCAGTGAGCCGAGATCGTGCCACTGCACCCCAGCCTGGGCAACAGAGCAAGACCCCGTCTCAAGAAAAAAGAAAAAAAAAAGCAGAAACAGAGGCTCACTGGGCTTAAGTAAAGTTTAAGTAACTTGCAAGATTTACTGCAAAAAGAAGTTAAAAAAAAAAAGATCAAATTGACTCCAAAAAAAACCTCGATTTTCATTTTACTTTCTGCATCTAAATATCTCTTTCCAGGAAATAAAGGTTGTACTTCTATACAACAAGCTGGGGATACCCTCTTGCAAGATGCCACTTGCAGGAAAGAGAAGCAGCAGCCTTGTTTCAACAAGATTCAGGAAAGTAAGGAACTTGGTGCAGAAAGATGAATAACAAGAGAATCCAAATCATACCATTTTTAACAGTCTGCTGAACTCTACCAAGGCACAGCAAGAACAAGCGAGGCTGATAAAGCAGCCCAAGTATACTATTATTACACTCAGAGGGCAAGCATGGATGCAGAAGAAAGGAAAGAAGAATCAGAAAGAAGGCAATTTCCTGACATCTTAATCTGAACACCCTGGCTACCCTGCCTGGGTTGTCCTGTGCCCTTTCAAAAGGACACTGGCAGCTGCCTAAGCAGGAGAGCTACCGCAGAGAGTGCATGAGGCCATTATTTCTAGAGCTGTAAGCAATCCTGCTACTGCCAATAGAGACGCACCTATTCTGCCTTCTGTAGCCTACAAAACAGAAAGGAGGTGGGAGCAGGGAAGAGATGCACACATGATAATAAAAGGGGTCAGGAGGTCTCAGCTGCCAGGCTCAGGTCAGACAGGAGAAGTGACACACAGGAGGAATCAGAAATCTTTTTCTGCAACCGCCAGTGGATTCAGAGGCTGGTCTGAGGCAGCAGTCTCCAGGATGGCCTAGAAATGGTTAATTCACAGTTTCTCTACTGATGAGTAGCTTCAGCTGCTCATCAATAGAATCTCCAGCTGATAATTATTAAGTGAAACTTGGGGCTTGCATTTGCATATGTAAAGCACACTTCCCTCCAAAGCCACAATGGGAGTGAGAATGCACTTCCTGATTGTACAGCACTGGGGAGGCTTGGGTGGGTGGGGCTTCAGTCTGCTTTGCATGTGCTTCTCCACGCTAATCAAGCCAGATATTCAGCAGAAATAAACCCCACATCCCAAAATATGCCATTTGTCAAAATCCAGAGCTCACATAGGAGACCTCTCTCTCTCCAGATCCCAGAAGGCTGCATTCCACCACAATAAGCCTCTATAAGGGTTATAATTACTCAGCCCGGTGCATGCACCCACGTGCACACACCCTCGCATATACACACACCTGGGTTGTTTTGCTGGATGATGGGAGAGTTATATGAGTTTCTCCAGAAAGAAGGCTTCCATCCTTCTCACATATTCCTGACACTTTTTTTCCATCTTTGCACCTGTGGACTAAGAAGCGTCAGCCCCAAACAACAAGCCAGAAGGAAATGCAAACAGCATCAAATTCTAAGTATCTGATGGCTTATCTCTATCATGACGTTTATCTCAGTCTGTGAGGAAAGTCACTGAGCTCCTCCTCCTACAGGAAAGGATGCCTTAACAGAAAAGCCATTACTCCCAGGAGAAAAGCCAGGAACACTGGCCTTAGCCTGGCTTGAAAACATCAGAGCCTTCTAAATACCAGTGTCAGCTGTAGGCACTACAGCCTGATTGTAATGAGAAAGCCACTGGGGCCAAGAAAAGGTGCCTAAAAGTATACTTAAAACATTCGAAAGACAGAAGCAGACAACAGGATTAAAAACATAATATAAATTATTAACTCTGGGTCTCTTCATCATTGGTTAAGATCGTGATCCCCTGGTCCTCACTGTCATCTGTTAAATGGGGGTAAAAACAGGCATGCTCTTACCAGCACCATTAAGGCATGTATAAACTAGGAACACTTTAGTTTATCACATACAAACATGCATTTATTGGACAATTTTTGGTTATGGGGCAAAGGCCTTTTCTATAAGGACATGCCCGCTGTCTGAAAATCCTACCTTGCCTTCCTGGCATAAATCACAGACATCGCCACACACTTTTATCTTTTCTTTTTCTTTCATAGTGTGGGGTAAACTTAAAAGATATGTGTAAACTAATCAGAGTACAGAATTCCTTTCCTATTTTTATCTTTTCCGCCATTTTTCAGTTGTCTTGCCAACATCTTATTTGACAGCTCTTCTTAAGGCAATTTGCTTTTAGGCTACTGTTCCAAAATACACAACTTATTATTTTTTATAGAAACATTCCTTCCTGCACTCATATTTCACTGCTTTATGGAATAATTAATTAAACTGTATTTGTTAATTATAGGTAAAGATATGCTATAATAAGCTTGATGAAACTGAGCACACAGTTTAACTGGTGCAATCAGCAATGCTAAACAGTACTAGAAAGTAAGCTGGTAGCTGGAGACTCCACATTCAGTGGGCAGTGAACACTCCTTTACCAGAGGGAATGGAGGAATCCTTGCTTATTGGATGTGTTCTTCAGTGGAGATGAGTTAAGGATCTTCCACTGAGCACTTACCTTGTGATACTGTCGAATAAATGAGATGAAGCACTAGAGGCATTTAGCTGCTCCAGCTAAGTATGAGATAAGGGCTTGACAACTTATTATTTACCTTATTATATCGGTTAAGTCACTTTCCCTGTAAAGTATGGGTGCTTCTCTGAAATAAACTCCCATATGCTTCTGAGAAAAATAATACTCCTTTAGATCGGCGGAACTTGGAGACAGATTTTGGAGCATCTGAGGCTGTGCTAGTGCATTGATCACTCATGTCCATTGATGCAGGTACGGAAGAGAGAGTGATTGTGCCCACTCTACATAAGGCAGGTGAGACCCAGAGACTCACAGGCACTTGCCTAAGATCTACAGGAAGGTTGAAAGCAGGACCCCAGAGATAATCAAATCCTTTCCTCTTTGTTATTTCCCATTCCCTGAACCTGCTTTTAGTATACATTTAGCTGCTTCTTCTCACCTTTCTAACTTTGGAAGTAGTGTAAGTATGTAATGGCGTAAAAAGATGGATAGAAACAGATCCTCCCTCGCAATAATGGAAGGGCAAGAGAGGGTTAATTTGCAGCACTCACAAGGACCCTTCAGCAGACCTCTGTCCTTCTGCATGAAACATTTCAGCCAACCTTGAGTCTTAACACCTCAGGCTACGTTACTGGCATCTCCCAGGCCCATAGAGTGGCAGCAGAGTGGAGAAAAGGCTCCCCTTGCTTTGCAGCAACTGAGCCATTACAAAGGAGGACTCAGAAGAGTTACTAGCGATGTTGACTTTGGGGAAGTAATTTTATATCCCTCAGCTTCAATTAACTGGGAACATAGCTTTCCATCTATCTTTCAGGGCTGTTTTGAAAATGCATTTTTAAGCCTATGGGAAAGGCCTAGGGAAAACAGGAAATCTTAAGGGAATAGGACATGATGTTCTCCTTAAGTGGAGATGCACAGGACTTCACTGAGATTACTATTACTGTTATTATTGGCCAACATTCATGCACCATGCTCTTCAATTTAGTAATAAAAACAGCCATCTCTGGTAGATTATAACATTAGTATCCTCCTATTATAGGGATAAGGCAAAACTAAAGCAAAACAATGTCCACAGAGCTCAGAAAAGCCACCTGAGTTCTTTTGGTCTGGAGGAGGAAATGCACATCCCTCTTCCTTGATACTCATTGTTATCAGAAGGTTCCTGATGTTCTATTAGTTCCAGAAACAGAAATACCTGCTAGCTGAGGCCTGGGGAGACCTTTCCCACCTGCTGTGGGATAAAGCCCAAGATCTGCTCCCTGTGACTGGAGCTGCGCCAGAGTCCCCAAGCCTCCATCACCTCTAGATTAAATTACTGCAGCACATCTGTATTTTCTGTAATGCTGCAATATGCCAGGAGTCTGAGCCATCAGGCAACTTAATATATTTCCCTCTAAAGGAAAGAACACATACATTTGAAGCAAGTTATACCTACAATTTCTCAACAGAGACATGCATATGGGTCAATGTCTCACAACATGAATAAATGCAAAAGGCTCACATTGACCTGCACTGTTGTTGGTATTATAATTCATGAGGCCTTTTGCTATAACTAGGGAGTGCCGTTGTGTGTAACCAAAGAGGATGTGAGGTCGCAGGATGCAAGAGACACTGCAAGTCCCCAAGGTCAGGATTTTACAAAAACTCTTCTCCTACAAATGAAAGGAGCCCTGTACTTGTCAACCTGTTTGTTTATTTGATTTTCTCCAGCCAACAAGCTCATTCTGGTTAAGATCCAATAGCAGTTATTCACTCATTCATTCACTCATTAAATTCATACATTTATGAAATATCTGCAGTGTCACTACAGAGTCCCTTTCCCTATCAATCACTATAAAGCCTAGTAGAAGAAAAAAGATAAAATCACACTGCAAAGAGAAAAATAGCAGGGTGAAGGACAGAGTGCTGAAGTAGCATTTGGAAGCACCTCCCAGCTCAGTCTTAAAGATTAAGGGAAAAACTTCGAGGACTCATCACGTACATGTTGAGATTAGAAAGGTGAGCACCAAGACGCTAGATTGAGAGACATGTTCAAGCAGAGGAAACGGCATATACAACATCTTAGAACCATGGTTCCCAAACTGTGTGCCAAGGTGCCCCAGGGTGCCAAAGTGGACCCACGGGGGCACCGCAGGATACTTTAAAACTTCTAGAGAAGTGCAGCAATTCTCAGCACATGCTGGACACAGCCTCAACTATTAGCTCGAGGTAGTTCACAGTTTCAACATTAGAATGCACTAATTCCTTTGGTGGCTGTATTTAAACACAGCTGAATTTTCAGAACTTGCTATGATAAAAAACAATAACTGCATGGAAATCAGTGTGCAACGCCTGTCCAATCTAATTCCAGAGTTTGAAAAATTGTACAGTGCCCAACAGGTCCATACATCCCATAAGCAAATAAATGTGGATAAGAGTGAAATAATGGTATTTTTCCCTTCAATTTATATGTATCCTTTTTTTCAGACAGCTACTAAGTTGTTAGGACATAAATGCTTAATAACAAAATAGGTATTTCATTTTACCTACGGGTGCTGTGAAAAAATTACTGAGATGCCAAAGGCACCAAAAAATGAGAAAATGTGAGATCCTATGGTTGGAGATCAGAGGGAGTAGAGCTTCCAGTGAACATAAAATACTGTGATAGGACTCAAGCCCTGGTCGAAGTGGGGACCAGTGAAAGAAAATGCTGGAAAGACAAGTGGATCAGATTCCAGAGGGCCTTCTAGGCACACCAAAAAACTTGGAACTTTATCCTGAGGCCAGGGGGAGCTAAAAAAGAGTTGTCCTCTAAACCTCCCTGCTGCAGGAAGTACACCACCACCTGAGTTTTACTGGATTTCCCCAGTTCCCAGAATGGCTACATTTCACCATCTATCATGCAGATACCACACTGCTGAGTCCATACTGAGTGAGATGAAAGCCATCATGAGATGTCTAGAGAATGGCCTGCAATTACACCTAAACACTGAACCAAAGTAAATACTATACGTAAAGTGTAAAATGCTTTACGAAGAAAAGTTATTACCTAGCATTCACGTATGTGTGTTTCATACTCTACAATTAGTCAATCTACAGCAAAGTTGAGTCCTGCCTCAAACCCTCAAGCTGTTAATGTCTCCTTTCCTGGTTCCATATTATTACCAAAGCTTATGCTAGATAGAGCTAGAACCGTTCATTCTCTAATCCCTAACACAACATTTGGCTATGAAGAGAAAGAGCTATATGGTGAAATCTGAAATGCTTAACTTCATGATGCAATATGTTCAGCATGCAGAATCAAAGTTATGTTGTCCTTTCTCTTAAGCATCGTTTAAGATTTTCAACCCATCTATGCCTAGTGTTCCATTATTGGAACACTAAGCATGTGGGAGTTATTGATATCCTACCGTTCAAGGTCATCGCCAAGGTCTGATTGCAAAAATTCAAAAAATTGCAACCTCCAGCATAAATGGATTAAGAATGGTGGCCATTCTTGTCTGTATGTGTGATATACTTGACAATAAAGAATACTGACAATTCATCTCCTAAAACATTTTACATGAAGATGTTTTACCTTTCAAATGTTATGTTTAGGAGACATTTCTTACCACACATAAAAAATACTTATCAATCTTAAGCTACACTTGCTCTATCAGCCAATTTATCAGGCAGTTCCAAAAGTTAGGAAACAGCTACATATTAGGTAATAAAAAAATCATCATGTACACCCCTGGGTTTTAGAAAGAAGAAGACCTACGAAGAGAGATGTTATAAAGCCTGTCCCAGATAAGCACAGAAGAGGAGACAGGTACCCACGTGTCTCTCACGCTCTTTCTTATACTAGACAGAAAATGGTCAGAGGACCAGAGACTTTGGCCACTCACAACACCTCCCTCAGAAAAACCGAAAATTGCAGCAAGAAAAGCTATCCCATCTATTAACCCTTCCACCTCATTCCTGAGGTTTCAATGAAGAGTGAGCTCTAGCAGAGCAACAAGCCTAACCTCTTGCCCCCACTTCCTTCCTAGGGAAGAGGAGTGACATCTGATTGCCAAGTCTGTGAGAAAGACTTTCCTGGTTCCATGCTCAGCCAGCCCTGCTCTCCTGTTCTTCCAGGGTCTGTCTGCCTGTAGACAGTATGTGCCATGTGTTCCTAGGAGAGGACTTGATACTGTTTGCTATGCTCCTGACCAATTTGGGTGGGGAAGTAAGTCTATCTGGTTGAGACACATTCTCTAAACTGTTGGAACAAAAAGTAATATTTTGATCTCTTTCTGCCTGGTCCTGTGTCTCTCAGTCTGTTCTCATTGCTGACATGTAAAAACTCAATGCTAGAAATAAGCTTAAGAACCAAAGGAGTTGGTAGAGAAGTAGATTTAAAATACCCCAAATCATCTGCATTTCATAAATATCTATACGGCACCTATTATGTGCAAGACAATATGCCAGGTGCTGAAGACAGTTGGTGAAGAAGGCAGATATGGTCTCTACCTGTGTGTTCTTTACAGCTCATCAGGAGGACAATCGATTGCCCAAATAATTATTTAGTTACACTGCGGTAAGTACAGGGTGCTCTGAGAGATTGTTATCAAGATGCTTTGTGTTGGTCGGGTGTAGTGGCTCACACTTGTAATCCCAGCACTTTGGGAGGCTGAGGCAGGCAGATCACGAGGTCAGGAGTTTGAGCCCAGCCTGGCCAACATGGTGAAACCCCGTCTCTACTAAAAATACAAAAAAATTAGCCAGGCATGGTGGCGGGCGCCTGTAATCCCATCTACTCGGGAGTCTGAAGCAGGAGAATTGCTTGAACCTGAGAGACGGAGGTTGCAGGGAGCAGAGATCATGCCACTGCACTCCAGCCTAGACAACAAGAGTGAAAATTCTGTCTCAAAAAAAATTCTCTGTGTTGGTAAATGGCCCCACCAGTTGAATAAGCCTGACCCACAACCTCCCTTGAAGCAGTACTCTTCCATGCTGCCAACTGCACCACAGCTAATTCATCCCCTCTCACCTCTCAGATCCATCTCCACCCACAACTCCACATCCCAAACTCTCAGCAGGTCTCTCTGTCTGACAGCTGCAACAGCTTGCCAGCTGATCCCCTTGCATCCATTCTTGTCAAAAAAATTATTAATCGTGGTAAAATATACGTAACATAAAGTTGACCATCTTTACCATTTGAAGTGTACAGCTCAGTAGCATGAAGCACATTTACACTGCTGTGCAGCCATCATCACTATCCATCTCCAGAACTTTTTCATCTTGTAAAACACAAACTCCAGACCCATGAAAAAACTCCCCATTCTTTTTTATTTTTATTTTTATTTTGAGACAGAGTCTTGCTCTGTCGCCCAGGCTGGAGTGCAGTGGCGCAATCTCGGCTCACTGCAGCCTCTGCTTCCTGGGTTCTAGGACTCTCCTGCCTCAGCCTCCTGGGTTACACGACCACGCCCAGCTAATTTTGTGTGTTGTGGGTGTATTTTTAGTAGATACGGGGTTTCGCCATGTTGGCCAGGCTGGTCTTGAACTCCTGACCTCATGTGATCCACCTGCCTGGGTTACACGACCACGCCCAGCTAATTTTGTGTGTTGTGTATTTTTAGTAGAGATGGGGTTTTGCCATGTTGGCCAGGCTGGTCTTGAACTCCCGACCTCATGTGATCCACCTGCCTCAGCCTCCCAAAGTGCTGGGATTACAGGTGTGAGCCACTGCACCCCGCTAATTTTTTTTATTTTTAGTAGAGACGGGTTTCGCCATGTTGGCCATACTGGTCTCGAGCTCCTGACCTCATGTGATCTACCTGCCTCGGCCTCCCAAAGTGCTGGGATTATAGGTGTGAGCCACCACACCCAGCCAACTTCCCATTCTTCCCTCCCCCAAGCCCCTGGTGGACACCATTCCACTTTCTGTTGCTCTGACTTTGACAACTCTAGGAACCTCACATAAATAGAATCATATAGTCTTTACTTGTTTATTACTGGCTTATTTCACCTACTATCATGTCCTTAACTGGAATCCACTCTTGCCTCCCAATCTATTCTCTGCACAGCGGGAGCTGTTCAAAATGCCAATCTGATCTTGTCAGCCCTCCATGCAGCTTTAGTTTCTCAAAAGACTAAGGCGAAACTCTTTTGCATGACTCAAGGCCGTGCATGCTCAGCCGACAGTGACTTCCCAGCATGGCACTCCCACTCTCAGTGCCCCAGGTATGGCAAACTGTCTCATCCATCTCTCCCACTGCCAGGCCTTTGCAAGCCATTCCCAATGCATGGATCACTCTTCCAGGATCTCTGTCTACACACTCCCATTGGTCCTTCAGATAAAGGCCCATGGTCCTCAACCTCAGGAAAGTCTCCCCTGAAATCCCCAACACGCCCAATTTGTTGACTTCATGAGCTGTCTTGGCAGCATGGCTTTCTCCTCTGTGGAGCTCAATTGCAGTGATATCACAATCTATCTGTATGCTTGCATGCTTGCAATACCTCTCTCTTCTGCTGAGTGCAGAAGTTTCAAATGAGGAGAGGGAGTGTATGTTTTAAATTTCCATTCTATCTGCAACATCCAGCATATAGTAGGGGCTCAGAAAAAAAAAAAGTTTGTTTGCTTAAAAATGAACACAAGAGGCCAGGCGCGGTGACTCATGCCTGTAGTCCCAGCACTTTGGGAGCCCGAGGCAGGTGGATCACCTGAGGTCGAATGTTCGAGATCATCCTGACCAACATGGCGAAATCCCGCCTCTATCAAAAATACAAAAAATTAGCTGGGCATGGTGGCGCATGCCTGTAATTCCAGCTACTCAGGAGGCTAAGGCAGCAGAATCGCTTGAACCCGGGAGGCAGAGGTTGCGGTGAGCCAAGATTGCGCCACTGCCCTCCAGCCTGGGCAACAAGAGCGAAACTCCATCAAAAAAAAAAAAAAAAAAAAAAAAAAGAACACAAGAGCAGAACCTGACCAAGACTGGTTCAGGAAAGGCATGCCTGAGAAAGTGAGATTTGATCCAAGAACTGAAGAACAAGAGGGAATGAATAAGAAGAGAATAACTGGGAAGTAGGGCATAGACTGTGGCAGAGCAGCACATATCTCTGATTGGACAGGTATAAAAGCCGTGGGGTAGGAAAGAGGTTGATGTACTTGGGAAACAAAAAACAACAAAATAAGACAAAACGAAGGCCAGTGTGGGTGAAACAGGGTGAACAAGGAGATCCAGCGATGAGCTGCCTGACCTAATGACAACGGCAAATTGGTTCTCTCTGAAGACTTCTGGTTCAAGGAAGTTCTATTATACCTGGTACCACAATTTTGAGTCACCTGCCAAAGGAATTGTCTCTAAATAACTCTCCAATAACCACTCCCCTCACAAAAGGCGTTTATGACCCAAACTGCTTTATAGGTATCTTCTCAGTTAATCCCTTCAACAGCCTCTACAATTGGTGTTCACTCCAATTTAGAGGACAGCATATTAAAAGTAAGACAAGTTAAATAATTGGAAAGTTAAATAATTGGCCCAAGGTCATTCAGCTGGTAAGTGAAAGGGCCTCAGGTGTGAACAAAAATCTGTCTCCAAAATCCACGACATTTTCACCAAACCATACCTCTTATAAAGCCTGGAGGTTTTCTTTTTTTTTTTAAGTACTTATTTAAATTCTGGTTCCAAAGAGAGTTCTATGTTTTTATGCATTAAAAGCACTAGCAGTACAAGTTGTAGAGTGATATTTTAGTAACAAAAGATATTTTTGCACAAAACATCAAAAAGTGGCTTATGCAGATTCACTGCTCACTATACCGGCTGCAGAGACTTAGGTCACAGCTTGAGTTTACCCTAAAGAGACCAAATTCTGGAGATGAAACTGGACAATGAGAAGCCAGTCAGCAGCAGGTGGGAGAATCCTCTGAGAGCTGTCACCAACCACATCAAATTATTTGCACATCAGAGAATACGTCCAGCAGGTTAAACCTACACATCATATGTTACAGATTCAATGGCAAAAAAAAAAAAAAAAAAAAAAAAAAAAAAAAGCTGGCTGGTTAAAAGCATTTTATAACAATAGTGATAGATAACTGAGGATGACATAAAATATACCAGACTTCTAAGTGAAAAGCCAAAATACATATCAAAGACCAAGAAAACTATACAATAAAATAAAAAGCTAAATCTACAATATCTGCCATCAGCAGGTACAGGAAAAGAAAAACACCACCAACAAAAAAAAAAAATAAGAAAATCAACAATAATAAACAACATGTATATTAGAAGAACATTGTATTAATTCTCATCAAGACTGTAAGATCCTTGAACAGGGGTTGGCAAACTTTTCCTACAAAGGTCTAAATACTAAATATTTTAGACTTTGTGGGCCAAAATACTCAGTGGTGCCACTGTAGCTTGAAAGTGGCCACCAGAGATAGAGACATGGTTCTGTTTCAGTAGAAGTATATTTACAGACACATGTAGAGAGCAAGATTTAACCTGCAGGCCAGAATTTGGCAACCTGTCCTTAAAGGTCAAGAAGAAGACCTCTCAGATTCTTCAAAGCAATAAGATAGAGCTTCAATATCACAAAAGAAGGAAAATTAAAATGTTTCCAAAAGTTTTACTTTTCATAAAACCCTATGTTGTAAAGCAAATATCATTTATCCTCATTCTACAGAAGAAAAAAATCGACGGCTCAGAGACCTTCGACCATTTGCACAGGGCCAGCCAGCTCACAAGTGGCAGGGCCAGCATTAGAACCCAGGTGTGTTGATGTGTTAATGCTCAGGTTCTTCTCACCATCCCCTGCAGCTAATTGCTTAATAAATGAGAAACAATTCCTTAGTGAAAAAGACGGGGGAGGATAATAAAATGATTCTCAAGATGTAACAGCTCCTAGTGTGATTCAGTCCACAGTCTTTCAGGAGTTAAAAAAAAAAAAAAAAAAAGAAAAGAAAAACTCACTCGAACTGGCCCAAGGAAAAAGGACAGTTTAACATAAACACATAAACAATGGAACTAGTAGAGGAACAAAGTATTCTGATTCTTGCAGGAACTGGAAACCCACTGGAAATTACGACAGTTATCTCTCCATATTTATCTCTGTCTCTTCCATCTATCTCCCCCTTACCCCTCCCTCACTGTCTCCATATTTTTTCTCCATCACTGTTTATCTCCTCTCTCCTTCTTTCTCCTTCTCTCTTCTCTCCCTGTGCCCCACCATGGCCCTCAGTCAGAAGCCTAAGGGTTTCTCACTTGTGCTTTATCTGGGGTTTGCAGCATTCTCTCTTTTCTACCAGCTGATAAATTCTTTTGCCCAAGGGTGCCTGCCTCTCCAGTCGACATGGGAACAAGGATGCCTGCCAAAGTGGTACCATTGCCCTGAGTCAGCCTCTCCTGTCCAGACCAACAGCTTACACCCTGTTTGTCTGTCCAAATTCTTGAGACCCGATTAGTCACATGGGAGCACAAGAGTTAGCTAGGCATGGGTTATAGGTACAATCTTAGTCCAGTTATGGCCAAAGATGGAACGCGGTCCTCCAGTACCAGACATATTTCAGAATGCAGGAGCTAGAGACAAAGTCAATTCTTGACAGGTGAGCACACAACTCAATGTGTCTAATATCAGGAAAAGTGAGAAGACGATTGGGATCTACAATATGAGAAAACCAGCAGACAGATCAGAGGAACAGAAACCAACTGGAATAAAAAACGCATTTGTAAAATTTATGTAAAAGAAGTGGGACGTATTTACTCAATTCAGAAAGAATCTGGAGAGCTCAAAAAGAGACCAAATAAGAGTGACAGTCATATAGATGAGAAATCCAGTATGTAAAACTACAATATTATGCATGTGGAAAGGGTTCTTATTTTACGTAAAGGGATACTATTTCCACAGCTGCGGAAAGCTGCTTTTTATCCCTACAAAGGACAGAGTGAGAAGGAACAATACCTCGAGCTGGGCCCTCCTCTTTGACTTAAAGAATTTGACCATATATTCTAATATAGGTTGCTAATGGATACCATGAAATATCTAAAGTAACACAGACAACCTAGTATAAACCACCACCTAAATGCATACACAGAACATTTGGGGGAGGAGGGGTGACTGACATCGCAAAGAATTCCTCACTTTACATAAAAGTGCACTAGGAAGATGCTAGAATAGGAAGCCTCATTATTGTCTTTAATTTCTCCATTCTAGTGGTTCTTAGGAGACGAGAAGATAAACCTCAGCTCAAGTTCTATTTTCAGCACTGGCACTAGCAGCTAATTCTCTCTTTCCTGCTTCTCCAAGCTGACCCAGATCTCTCAGCATTTCTTAATGACATTCAGAGATCCGAGGAGAGTGTGGGTAAGATGACACACCCTCCACGAATGAGAGCAGAGCGCACCATGGGACAGAACCCTGCATGACTACCATGAGGAAGAGGCGCATCTGCGACCGTTTTGCCATGCGATGGTCAAGACACTGTGCTGGGAACCGAAGTACATTGCCCATCCACTTTCCCTGATGCGCATCTAACGAAATAGTTGATCACTACAGAAATAGTGCCAGTGCATTAGGACAGCGATGCTTAACCCTGAGTGTGTAGCAGAATTAACCTTAGAGCTTTGTATAAAAAATAGATAGCAAGCCCGGATCCCTTCAATTCAGCAGGTAGCGGTGGGGACCCCAGAATCGGCCACCTGCAGAACTCTCCAGATAATATTTTTTGTTTAATATCTATCTCTGCCATTAAAATAAAAGCTTCTGAAGATCAGGAAGTCTGTTTATTTTGGTCATCCCCTTATTCTCAGTATCTAGAACAGTGCCTGACTCAAGCACTCAGATATTCAATCAATGAACAATGAATGTATAAATCAATCACCTATGTGCCAGACACTTTGCTCCTTACAGAGCGTTATGGATTTAATTGTGTCCCACCCCTAAAATTTATATGTTGAAGTACTAAGCCCCAGCACCTCAGAATGTGACCTTATTTGGAAATAAGGCTGTTGAAGACATAACTGGTTAAGATGAGGTCATACTGGAGTAGAAATGTCCACGAATCCATTATAACCAATGTTCTTATATAAAGGGGAAATTTGGGGACAGACACACACACGCACACACACACACACACACACACGAAGAATGCCTTGTGAAGACTTGGAGTCATGCTGCCACAAGCCAAAGAACTATCAGAAGTTAGGAGAAAGGCCAGGTACGGTGGTTCACACCTGTAATCCCAAACTTTGGGAGGTCGAGGCAGGTGGATTGCATGAGGTCAGGAGTTCGAGACCAGCCTGGCCAACATGATGAAACCCTGTCTCTACCAAAAGTACAAAAATTAGCCAGGTGTGATGGCAGGCTCCTGTAATCTCAGCTATTCGGGAGGCTGAGGCAGGAGAATTGCTTGAACCCGGGAGGCGGAGGTTGCAGTGAGCCGAGATCGTGCCACTGCACTCCAGCCTGGGCAACAAGAGCGAAACTCTGTCTCAAAAAACAAACAAACAAACAAAAGAAAAAAAGAAGTTAGGAGAGAGGCCTGGCACAGATCCTTCCCTGGCATCTCCAGAAGGAGTATGGTTTAGCCAATACCTTGATTTTGGACTTCTAGCTTCCACAAGCGGGACACAATCAATTTCTTTTGTTTCAGTCATCCAGTTTGTGGTACTTTATTACGGCAGCTGTGGGGACTTCAAATGGAGGGGATCACATTCCAGTCTAAAGTGGCTCATGGCCCTGATTTGTTCCACTCAAAACAATGTGCTTCAGGTCATACATCCAGTTTTAAACACAGAGTTCCCTTGGAGTCTGTGAACACTGATGAAGGGCCCTAAGTAATGGCAGTAAGTGGAGAAGTAAGCGAGATGGTCCGTTCCAGGGAAAACACATTCAGAAACAATGCAGAGGTACAGGTGTGTGTATGACAAAATCAGTCCATGATCTACGCCTGAACTTTTCTAACTCCAGAATGGGGCTCGGGGCGGGTGCAGAAGAGGCTTTTGATGCACAAATTTGTATTGATCAGGCTTTATTTTTACAATAACTACTGACAGAGAGCAGATCTCACTCTATCCATATCAAACCTTTGGGAGATTTCTAACTCCAGAATGGGGTGGGGGGCAGAAGAGACCTTTGATGCACAAATTTGTATTGATCAGCCTTTATTTTTACAATAACTACCGGCTGAGAGCAGATCTCACTCTGTCCATATCAAACCTTTGGGAAGGTCGTGAAAAACAACCTCAACAGTTGCACCATCTTCCTGGTTTCCAATGAACAGACTGTTAGCTTTTGGAGAGGGTGAAGGCCGCCCATGAGTGTGAAAGATGCAGATTATTCCTGCGTCTAACAAAGAGAATCTTGACTTTCAGATGTCTCATTGAGACATTATCCACAAGGCAAGTCATTATTTCAACTCAGATGTCTTCTCAGAATACCCCCTTATCATCTGCTTTAGGAAAAAAAAAAAACTGAAAAGATTATGTTGTGGGAAATGTCATCTGCCTGTTATGCAGAAGTGAAATTGAAGTGCTCTTTGTGTTAAATGTGACAACCATCACACTTGAAATCCAGAGTATAAATGTTACTAATACCCTCTGCAATCATCCACCCAGTTATCAGCTGGAGGAGGCTGCAAAGACAGATTCAGGTTTCTTAATTTCGCCACTTATTTTTTTCTTGTTAATTTAAAAATATCACAGTGTTTTAATTGCACTCAATTTAATGTACTATACCTGCCAGTTCCAACACACTTTATTATTTATATTGCTAGAAAAGCACTTAAAAATCAAATTGCATAATTTGTACTTGTACATCTTTAAGGTAGATTTATATCTGAAATTGTCAAATAGCTGGGGCTGTATTGCTCTGAATATTAAATTTTAACAAGTTGTCACCCCAAAACATTTGCAGGGGATGATGTGAATGGGCCATTAGTTATTTGTGTAGAAAGTTATTAAAACAGGCATTGAAATGTTAATTCATACTTTCAGTTGTTAGGAGCAAGGAGTCAAGGGCCCAACTACCAGGGTTCACGTCCCAGGTCTGGTATTTATTAACCCTGTATCCTTAGGTTCATGACTTAAGATTTCTGGGCCTCATCGTCCTCTTCTGTTAAATAGAATACTAACAACATCTACCTCATACAGGTATAGTGAAGATTAAAACAGATAACATACATAAAGTTCTCAGAACAGTACCTGGCACATGAGAAGCAAAATTTAAGCACTTGCTAGAATAAGTATTTCCTATACTATTAAAGATCACCATCATTTGCACAATAACAATAATCAGTCTCCCACTCTATATTAGTCTGATTTAATCCACCAGATCTCTCCAAAATTTCTCTTTATCAATGCTACGTCTCAAATGCAATAGTGGCTGGGGTTTCTGTGTTTTCTAAAAGTGTTTGCTAATTTGCAATTCTTACTTTGATAATTATCTTTTTAAAAATGTACAGAGGCACATTCAGGGTCATCTGGACAGTCATCTTTTAGCGGAGCCCAATGTCACAGCCCACTTTTACACCTAAGTCTATGCTCATGCTAGCCCCAGGTTGTACCCACTACCTTAACTGCCCCAGGCTGATCAGCAGATAACAGGAAAAGGCTAGATGCCTAAATGATGCACTTCTACCATGCAAAGACCAAGAATCTGACGCAAAGTGGTTGGGTGCTCTCTGGCTGGAAAGAAATATGAGCCATGGTGTGGTGCGTGGACACTGCAAATTCCATGCCAAAGTGATCCACACCATATTAACACAGCATCACCTGACACGTTAACGTGCTCATAACTTAAACTTTGTTAGTTTTATAGTTTTCTTAGAATTTATTATATAAATCTGTTGTACTCCTCCAGTTCATGCAGGCTCTCCCTATACAGAGGCTGCACCAAATTGCACATTTAAGTAATATTAAAATGAAAAGAATTGACGTTAACACAGTGGTCTGTGAAAATTGTACCTTGGGATGGCAAGACACTAAATTGAAGAAATTGTGTCCAAACGACCTGTGATCTGGCCCTGGCCTCCTTCTCCCACCCTTCCCACTTCTTCTCCTGCACCAGGACACCCCAGGCTGTTCCCTGTCACCCAGGCTTCTGCCATTGCCCCCAAATGGGAAATTCTTACTCAACTCTCAAGTCCCCCTCATCATAAATCCATGAGAAATCTTCCTGACTCCTGCTGGTGGACATTGGCACTTCCTGATTGGTTCCTCTGCCCTCATACCATCTTCCATTTCCGCAACTCTTTCATTGTATGAAATCCTTTATCATCACATCTAAGCTCTTGGGAAATAGTAGGTACTCTGAAATCAGGAACCATGAATCTTTGAATTACTGATTCTCTAGTAACACACACAGTGGCTGGCATAGAGTAAAAACTTGGTACAAATATGTTTGCAAGTATATGACCCACTGTGAGCCAGGCACTCTGCTGTGAGCTTGCTGCTATGCTATCTGAACCCAGAGGAAAACCAGAGACATATGGTTTTATTTTACTGAGGCTCAGGCCCAAGGCCATACCAATGGTAGGGAACAAAGCCAGTGGTCCCATCCCAAGTTTGCTGGCTCCAACCCACTTCAGGTTAGTAATGAAAACAATGATGATGGCAAAGACAAAGATGATGATAGAAATGATAATGGGTAACATATACTGATGGTCTCCTATATGACAAGAATTGTTCTAGCCATTTTGTGCTCTTAATTTATTTTATAACACCATAAGATATACGATGCAATCTGTCATGGTAATAAATTGACTTGACTGGGCTACAGGGTGCCCAGACATTTGGTCAAACATTATTCTGGGTGTGCCTGTGAGAGTATTTCTGGATGAGATTAACATTTGATTTGGTAGAATGAATAAAGAAGATTGCCCTCCCTAACGGGGAGGGGCTTCATCCAATCAATTGAAGATCTGAGTAGAATAAAAAGGCTGAGTAAAAAGAAACTGCCTGTCTGACAGCTGAGCTGGGACACTGGTCTTTTCTTGCCTTTAAACTTGAACAGAAATATAGCTGTGGGTTTTGAGTCTGTTGGCTTTCAGACTGGAACTATATCATTGGCTCTCCTAGGTCTCCAGCTTTGCTGACTGAAGATCTTGGGACTTCTCAGCCTCCATAATTGAATGAGCCAATTCCTTACAATAAATCTCTTTATATATTATATATAACAGAATCAATAGGATGGATGGATGGACAGACGGAAGGACGGACAAACAGACAGACAGATGATAGGTAGAGATAGAGGAAAACTGAGGAACAGAATGGTTAGGCAGGCAGGCAGACAGACAGACAGACAGACAGACGATAGACAGAAGATAGATGGAGATAGAGGAAAACTGAGGAATAGAATGGTTAGGCAATATACCCAAAGACACATAGTTACTAAATGACAGAGATACTATCTGAACTCTGCCAGTCAGGGTCCATTGCCTTCTCTTCCCAGTAAGTTGACTATACAACACCAAGAAAACAGAGTATACTCTCTCTGGAGCCCTTGATGAAAAGCCCAGCCTGGGTCCAGAAGTACTAGAATGGAGCTGGGGGTTTACTGTAGGTAAAGCGCCACCACAGTCTGGTCCATGGCAGCAATCTCAGCATCACCAGTGGTTGTAGTAATAGCAGCAAGACAGCCCTCGCTGGAAGACTGTCCTTTGGCATGACAGCCAGGAGGGTAGGAAGGTGTGGAGAGTAAACCATTCTGAGATACTAACAGTTTTGTAGTGAGCTGCTCTTTAATAAGACACGAGGCAAGATTTAGTACCGAACGTGCTTGCTCTTAAGTCAGCAACAACAGAAATCATTGCACGTTGTACACCCGGTGAATGTGGAATGTGTTTGGGGAAGGAACACTGTTGTGTGACTGGAATCCCTTCTCTATGTCATCCACTCCCTTCTCTGACCTTGCTCCCCACCACCAACACCTTGGTAACAAATTTACGTAAGAGAAACATGACACAATTATCAAGGCCAACGGGAGTGCAAGGACCTAGAGAAGGGCCTCAGCCTCGGACTACTCATGTGATTTATACCCTTCGCACCCCTGGCTTCCACAGGCCCTGATCTGCCCCCGAGAAACAAGACGGATAGAAGAGAAAATCCCATAGAAGTCACCCTGAGAACCTTTCCTTTGAGAATGAATCTGGTATTTCACTGATCTCCTGAGTCACGCTGCCTATTAACAAAGGGATGGCCCATTTAGGGACAGTTATTGGTTGCCTGTAACTCCATGCGGAACTGAGGAAATTGAGAACCTAGCTCAGGAGAAGCTACTGTGTGCATAATGATAAGTTCCTCACTAGGACATGCAAGGATGAAGAAAAATATCGCCAAGCCAGCCAGGGTGGAGCTAAGAAGCTGAGAACTCATTCTAAAGCTCATCCCGGGATGCCACCCAACCCCATGTGCTTCTTACAGCGATGGCCTTCCCTTTTTTCCATCAAAAAGGGGGTGTGTGGCCTAGGAATCTGAATTTTAACAAACCATAGTTGATTCAGATCAACTTCTTCCCCCACTTTTTCAACCAAGGTTGTTCACCTTTCATTTCACTTCTTCAAGGTGATGAATGATGTCTGCTGAGGCTCCATGACCATTGGTTTCATTCTGAGGATTTTCAGGTGTATGGGGGGTGGAGCCACCAAGCACAGACCAATCCTAGCACTGCCAGCTCCTCACACCAGAGATTTCCCTTGAGATGAGATGGGATGGAAACACAGCCAATGGGAACCCATCCTAAACCACACACACAAGGAAAGGGCAAGAGCTTCAAGACTGTGACTGGGGCAGCTGGCATATGCCCTGGAGATGAGAAGAGGGTGGACAGAGGTAGTGTGATGGTGACCTGGAAACCCTGGGCACTGGATGAAGTGCTGAACAAATGCCAGGGGGTATTAATATACAAAAGAAATCCCAGCCATCCTGCCTGAAATGCTGAACAAAGCACTTCCTAGAGGCATCTAATAAAGCATGTACAAATGCCTAAAAACAGGAATGTGAGTGACATCAACCTGTAGTCAAATGTGCATCCCTAATATCCAAATTATAGAACCCAGTCATATTCCTTGGGAGCATTTGGGGGACAGGGTTTTCTCTTTGGCATAATTAAGGCAAAGTCCTACAGCATTTCCCAAAGCAGATACAAGAATAATGGCATCTGAATCAACTGTGGTTTTGTTAAAATGCAGATTCCTAGGTTATGCCCCCTGTCTGACTGAACTAGAATCCTAGGCATGAGACTCAAGCATATGAATTATAAACAAATTTGCTAGGTATTTTTTATTTCCACTCAAGTCTGTGAACACTGCTCTATCAAGTTCTGGAATCAGAACTGGGTTCTAATTCTAGCATTTAGGATTGAGGCAGCTTTCCAAGATGCGCCCTCATCTAAACAATGTTCCCACTGAGAGCTGACTATAGGTCTGGGAGACACATGTGCCAACAAAACTTCAGGAAACAAAGAAATAACCATGACACTATAAAGCAAATACAGTAGAATGTGTGTCACACTCTCCTTAGTCTTGATTTTCTTAGCTGTAAAATGTGGACCATCACTGCACAACCCCACCTGTTGTGAGGCTCAACCAAGAGACAAACATGCAGAGCAATTAATTAGCAGAGAATCTGGCACAGGATAAGTGCTCAAAAGATGATGAATTCATTTATGGTAGTATTTATCGACTCATCTATCTATACAGAGTGCATATAAATTCACTGAGAGTTCAAAAAAATGCAGCAAGCCATGGCAAATTAAATCAGCCGACTCTCTTTCCTTGTGGGCACCTAAAGCTAACCCATCTAGAGATATGTGGGTTGGGCTCAGGCAAACAAGTGGCGACTTGGTGCACAGCTGACCGGGCCCTGAGATGCTCAATGTCCCTCCCTGTGAACTGGAGCTTAGGATTGTTTCTGTCTGACCGCCCTCTTTCCCTGGTGTACCCAATCCACTAACAACCCCTGGTTCGAACCCCTGTTCAAGACCAGGGGTTCGAGACCAGACTGGCCAACATGGTGAAACCCTGTCTCTACTAAAGATACAAAAAATTAGCCAGGCCGTGGTGGTGCGTGCCTGTAATCCCAGCTACTGGGGAGGCTGAGGCAGGAGAATCGCTTGAACCTGGGAGGCAGACGTTGCAGTGAGCCAAGATCATGCCATTGTACTCCAGCCTGGGCAACAGGGCAAGACTCCATCTCAAAAAAAAAAAAAAAAAAAAAAAACAAAAATGATATGAATAACTTAACAAGCCTGCACAGGTATCACAACATACCCCCAAATCCAAACACTACTCAGCATGTCCATTTGGCCTATCATGGCCTAGACCAGCCATGCTTTGGTCTTGGGGACTATGGCGCCCTTCTCTTCCTGGTCTCCTGACTGCAGTTTTCCTTCCAGCCCAATGCTCTCTGCATACAGCAGATCCCTGCTCTGAGCCCATCAGTGTAGGGTTGCCAGATTTAGCAAACAAAAATATAGGATGTTCAATTATGTCCAAACTAAACAATTATCCATCGTTTATCTGAAATTCAAATTTAACAAGCTGTCTTCTATTTTATCTGGCAACCCCAGTGCCAGTGGCTTCCCACTGCACTTGGAACAAAGCTCAATCTCCTTGCTAGCATCTGTGAGGCCCCCGATCACGGATGCTGACCTAACTCTCTGTTCCCATCTCTTCCTCGTTGCTGTCCCTTGAACATGCCAAGCTTGTTCTGTCTTGGGGATCACTGCACTGGCTGCTCCTTCCATCTGGAATATTCTTCCCTCAGATCTTTGCTTGGCTTCCTGCTCCAAGATGACCACCTCTTCCTTTTTTTTTTTTTTTTTGTTTGGTAGAGATGGGGTTCTGCCACATTACCCAGGCTGGTCTCAAACTCCTGGCTTCAGGCAATCCTCCTGCCTTGGCCTCTCCAAGTGTTAGGATTACAGGCGTGTGCCACCGTGCATGGCCTCAAGCTGACCTCTTCAAAGAAGTCCTCTCTGACCTTCTAAAATCCTACTCTCCATCCGATGCCTCAGTCTCCATCCCTTTACCTTGCTGCTTTTTTTTTTTTTAAATAATATTCATTACCAGCCGATAGAACTTGGTTCTTATCCATTTCTCTTACTGGAAACTAAGTATTATGAGGGCAAAGACTGCATCTGCCTTGGACATTAACATATCCCCAGGGCTGAGAACAACAGGGAGCACAGAGTAGGCACGAAGCAGACATTTGTTGAATGAGTGAAGGTTCCAGGAGGCGTCGCATGTTCTTGAGAGCCACGCCAGAAGTTCTGCCAGGCTGACACACCCCAGCAGGTGTTATTGACTTCTCAGTTATGTCACGTGCTAGGGAAAGTGTGGAGAGATGGGAGGGGAAGAGGAGCGCTCGGGACCGATGCACCCACTCACATGGAAGACGGAAGAGGTGGGAGGTGGGAAGAGAACCTGCTGTTCACCAGGTAGGCCTGATGCCAACCTGAGTGCTACCCACTTAACAAGTAAAAATACCGAATACTAATATTTGTCCTATTCTTTATCTGACGGAGCCTCCACTCACCTTCTCTCTTGATGGTAAACATAATACAATGTCATACCTACAGAGAACTTCCATATGCTTATTCCCTCCCTAGACCCACCACAACCTCACATGGAAGGTATTCCTGCCCTCATCTTCATGGGGAGAAAGTCAAGGCTCAAAGAGGTGATGAAACTCATCCAAGATAACGCAGCAAGTAAGTAACAATGTCAGGATTTAAATGCAACAAAACAGAGATAATGAAATGCACCAACCCTGAAGCCAGGCTCCTTGGGATGAGATCCTACTCGAACGCTGTCTCTATCTCAATGTCCACCTATAAAGTAGAGGTGAGAAGAGTCCCTCCCTCACAGAGCTGTGGTCAAGATTAAATGGGTGAGTACTAACTTGCTGGAAACAGTGCTAGCCCATAGGAAGCAGTAGGTTAAGTGTTCATCATTACTTTAAGCTCAGAGTGTCAGAGTCCAAATCCCTTGCAGGTTGCACTGTTTATTTTTTCTTTTTTTGAGACGGAGTTTTGCTCTTGTAACCCAGGCTGGAATGCAATGGTGCGATCTCGGCTCACTGCAACCTCTGCCTCCTGGGTTCAAGCAATTCTCCTGCCTCAGTCTCCCGAGTAGCTGGGATTACAGGCATGCACCATCACGCGCGGCTAATTTTGTATTTTTAGTAGAGATGGGGTTTCTCCATGTTGTTCATGTTGGTCTTGAACTCCCAACCTCAGGTCATCTGCCTGCCTTGGCCTCCCAAAGTGCTGGGATTATAGGTGTGAGCCACCGCACCCGGCCCTGCATTGTTTTGAACTCAGACTTCCAAAAGTCATGCACCTTCAGCCTCCTCCCCTGGCCGTATCATCCTTTCTCTCCAGATCTTGGTCTCCTTTGCAAGTGGAGGGATGGTCATAAAGCCTTCCTCCCTTGCTGGGCTGGTCATTAAGCCTCCTATCCTGACCAACTGTGCTGTCCATAATGTGTCTATTTCTTCCACTTCTGATTGGTAGGGCACGCTGATTGGTCCCAGTGGGCCCACTCCACCTCCCTAATTTTTCCACCACTCCTGAACCTCCTTCAGTGACCTCCCCCAGCACTGGCCCCAGCTTTGAAAAGTTTTATGCCTTTCCTAAGCACACATCTAAATGTAAAAACACTACATTAAGTATCAAGCCCTGGTTTAGCGCTTCAGGCCAGTAAATTAAAAGTTATAGTTCCCACAGTAACCATCTCTCTTCCTACTATGCCCATATTTAGAAATGCGTGCTACTGCAAGGGCTGACAAATTTACTGTCTCTCTCTCTCTCTCTCTCTCCCCCCTCCTGTGTGTGTATGTGTGTGTGTGTGTACACACATGTGTGTCAGGCTGGCTAAGTTTATGAGGAGTGCAAAATCTCAGAACTTTCCTGACTCTGGTGAGGTTAAATTCTCAGCAGCAGTGGATGCTGCACAGTTGCTCAAGCAGGAAGAACTCCAGAGCACACCCTGATGAATGCCCAGGAAGCCGCATTCAGCGCACTTCCAGGGCTTGGTTTGGCCAATATCGTGACAGATAAAACACAGAGAGATGAGACAGACAGAGGTGACCGAAGGCAAAAACCAAACAGGCAAGGAACAGGGTTAGGGGAGAAGTGATTTGGGGAATGCAAAAGAAAGAGGCAAAAAGGAAATGGGTACTGGGAAGAAGGAATATATTGAGGAGTCCAAAAAGTAGAAATGACAGAAAGAAGAAGAGATAGGCAAAATGCTCAGAAGAAGGAAATGTAAAGAAAAAGGTGAGGTGGGGGAGAATTAAAATGGACAGAAGGTCACACCTGTAATGCCAGCACTTTGGGAGGCCGAGGTGGGTGGATCACGAGGTCAGGGGTTTGAGTCCAGCCTGGCCAACATGGTGAAAACCTGTCTCTACTAAAGATAAAAAAAAATTATCCAGGCATGGTGGTGGGTGCCTGTAATCCCAGCTACTCGGGAGGCTGAGGCAGAAGAATCGCTTGAACCTGGGAGGCGGAGGTTGCAGTGAGCTGAGATGGTGCCATTGCACTCCAGCCTGGGTGACAGGGCGAGACTCTGTCTCAAAAAAAAAAAGGAGGGAAAAATGATATGAATAACTAATCTTGTAGATACTTATAATGTACATCTTTCACATTACACATTACAGAGCTTTCACTCCCACATGATCACTAGACATCCGTCCTCCATTCCTCTCATGCTGGCTGCTTCCAAGGGGAAGCTCCGCAGGGTATGAAGGGTAAGAGAGGGTACTCTGTGGCCAGGCTGCCCTGAGTTGCCTGGGGCAAAAGAAAAAGGCAGAAAGGAAATGGAGACAGGAAGAGGGAATACAGAACCCAAAAAGTAGAAATGACAAAAAGAAAGAAAAGTTAGGCAAAATGAAGTAACAGCTACGTGACCTTCAGAAAGCTGGTTAATGTTCTTAGACCTCAGTTTCCTCCTTTATAAACTGAAGATAATGGCCCCCATCTCATGGGCTGTCCTCAGGACTAACTAAGTATACCCATGAAGCACCAGTAAGTGCTATGTGAACGTAACGGCTATAAAAGTTTGTCATTCAGCCCTCCCAGCAACCCCAGAAATAGGTATCTACATCCCCAGGTAAGGCTGGAAGAAGCCTGACCTGAGTTACTCTCCCAAAGATCAACAGGAGGTGGAATTCAAACACACCTCATGCTCCTTCTACTAGAGACCTGGGGAAAAAGAGGGAGGGAAGTGTGGAAAACAGGGAAGAAAAGAAAGGGAGAAGGACCTTTCCTTGTAGGGTGAGGGCAGACAGAGTGAGAAGGCAAAGAGACCAGAGAAGAGGAAAAAAAAAAAAAAAGGAATGGTAAGAGAAATCCCGAGGCCCACTTGACAAAGGCAGCCAAGGTGGAGGCTGGCTTGGGGGCTGTCTCCATCTGACATTAGGGGCCCCGCTAGCTGATGAGGCTGGCACTCGATGTTGCAGGCTGGCACCTTCTTGCTGTTCTGCCTACATGCCTGTCCCTCCCTCCACCCACACCTTTCCATGGCTCCATCCATCACCCTCCTGGTCTCATAAAGTACCGCTGAACTAGTGCCACAACACAGAGCAGGCGCTCATGTGGACCCTGCCATGGCGCCTCCACAACAAGCCTGCCAGTTATTTCCTAGCTCTGGAACCTACACCAGAGCTGGCAGGGCACCAGACCCCAAGTCCTCATCTCCAGGGGGACCCCAGGTTGACTGGGCAGCCCATGGAACAAATCAACCTTTGGCTTGAGAGCAGTGCAAATTTGCTATGGATGTCATTGAAAGAAATAAATATAGAAACCCCAGAATGGCTCTGGGCAACTGTTTTCCAAAGTCCAGCCACGCTCTGTTAGCAGATGTGGAGGCAGCCACAACTGCAAATGTTAATCCAATTGACATTTTGAGGGAGGGAGGAGAGAGGGAGGGAGGGAGGAGGAGAAGAGGCTTACTCGTCAGGAGAAATGGTTTCACCCATTTCTAAAAGATGGGAAGGAAGAGGGAATTAAAAATAGATTTGTTGCTGCCCTAACACTACAAGCCATGCACACGACATTGATCACAGAGAGAATAAGCACGGCAGAGGATCAGATGCACCAGTACCAGTGGGCTCATTTCTCACCAGCAAATATTGACTGCACAGTAAGAAACTACGCAAGCTCAAGACTGGAATATGGCTCCTCATGGGGCAGGAAACAAGTCAGTCAGCAAGCAAAACGCATGCCTCTCTGCTCACATCCATACATCTCTACGCAGGTTCAGACATAAAAATCTGCTAAGCCCCATTAATCTAAGATTCCCAGCATGTCCTGGACCATCATGGCTGATTTCTAATAAGCATTTGCAAAGGCCATGAATCCACTTAACAATTAGCCTCTTCCTACCGTCTGGGTCAGATCCTTCAATGGGTCTCACAGGAAGACAATGGAAGACCCATATGGAACTTAGAACAGCCTTGGCCTAGGAGGGGTGGACTCTCGTCTTCTCTAGGCAGCTCCCTGGACTCTAGGAGAGCAGTTCTCTTCCTCCCTCTACCCCCGTATTTCTTTTCTCCTAAGTGAAGAGGGTTTACAGTATCTTGAATAGACCTTAGAGAAAAGTATCTCCCTCATTACATCACTGATTTGTTTCTGAAAATAAAATGTTTTGTGCCAAAAGGCTACCACGGAACCAATCTCCTATTATTTTAAGTAGGACAAATTATAATTAAAATTATAAATTATAATTAAAAATTAAAATTTATTGTATGCTAAGCAAACTGCCCACTTCCCTTTCCAATCAATGTCCAAAATGGAAAAGAAAATACCATTAGATAGTTGTATGTAAATGACAACTTCTCTTGTTAGGATGCAAAATGCTTAAAACACTGCTTCCTGATCTCAAAACTATTCATGCAGCCATCAGCCAACAGGGGCTATGCATGCAGTAACACGGCCTTCCCCAATAACAGCAACATTTATTTTATTTTATTTTTTTGAGATGAAGTTTTGCTCTGTCACCCAGGCTGGAGTGCAACAGCACGATCTTGGCTCACTGCAACCTCCACCTCCCAGGTTCAAGTGTTTCTCCTGCCTCAGTCTCCTGAGTAGATGGGAGTACAGGCACCCGTCATCACAAATGGCTAATTTTTGTAGTTTTAGTAGAGATGGGGTTTCACCATGTTGGCCAGGCTGGTCATGAACTCCTGACCTCAGGTGATCTGCCTGCCTTGGCCTCCCAAAGTGGTGGAATTATAGGCGTGAGCCACCGCGCCCGGCCAATGGCACCATTTTAGACCCTCATTATCCTTCTGCTGATGCTTAAGGTTTTCAATATGTGTATATATCATTCTGACTTTCTACCAATTTTATCAGTTCTGTAACTCAATATTTATCACACACATCATTTTGCTAAAAGTACTGTATCAATTTTTACAATGTAAGTATAAATTCTCTGTATGTACACATCACTCCAAAAATATGACATATGTACTTTTTATGAAGTTTAGGTATTAAAGAAAAAAAGGCAGAGAACTACCATTCAAACCTGCAATCCCATTCCTGAGTATATACCCAAAAGAATAGACATCATTCTATTATAAAGACACATGCACACATATGTTCACTGCAGCACTATTCACAATAGCAAAGACATGGGACCAACCTAAATGTCCATCATCAGTAGACTGGATAAAGAAAATGTGGTGCATATACACCATGGAATACTACACAGCCATAAAAAAGAACAAAATCACCTCCTCTGCAGCAACCTCGATGGAGCTGGAGGCCACTATCCTAAGCAAATTGACACAAGAACAGAAAACCAAACACCACACGTTTTCACTTACAAGTGAGAGCTAAACTACGGTTCGCAAAGGCAGAAAGAGCAGTACAGTGGACACTGGAGACTCAGAAGCGGGAAAGCTGGGAGGGAGTGAGAGCCAAAAAACTACCCGCTGGGTACAATGTACACTACTTGGGTGACAGGTCCACTAAAATCTCAGACTTAACCACTACACAATTCATTTTTATAGCCAAAAACCATCTGTAACCTTAAAGCAACTGAAATGAAAAAAAAAAAAATTAAAAAGAGGGAGGGAGTGAGGGAGGGAAGGAAGGGAGATGTTAGGAAAGAGCTCTCATTGTGTTATATATAATTTACCAAATTAAAACAAACAAACAAGAGTCATTCTACTATGAAAACCTCAACCCATGGCTGGGGCGGTGGCTCACGCCTGTGATCCCAGCCTTCGGGAGGCCGAGGCGGGCGGATCACAAGGTCAGGAGTTGGAGACCAGCTTGGCCAACATGGTGAAACCCCGTCTCTACTAAAGATACAGAAGGTTGCCTGGGCATGGTGGCGCACGCCTGTGGTCCCAGCAGCTCAGGAGGCTGAGACAGGAGAATCACTTGAACCCCGGAGGCGGAAGTTGCAGTGAGCCAAGATTACACCATTGCACTCCAGCCTGGGCAACGGGGCGAGACTCTGTCTCTATTAAAAAAAGAAAAAAAAAAGAGAGAGAAAAAAGAAAAGAAAACCTCAACCCAGAAGCACGCTGTAGGGTGTGCCTGTGTGTCATGGTAGACTTTACATAAGTCTTAGGTTGCAGTGCAACCCAGGTGTAGCCAGTGACCATTTTACTCAGGGACCCACCCTGGAGGAAGGAGCAGTATCTGCTCACAGTATTTGAGGCCCAATACAGTCCTGAGGTGGCTCCCTCTGTCACCACTGTCTTGATCTAGTGAATTCTGGAATCAGTTTTTCCTGGTGACATTAGCAGCTTGTCAAATGACATGTTAGATGTTAGGAAAGAGCTCTCATTGGTAAGATAAAGTGCTACCAACAACGTGGACTGGCTACAGTAATATTAGAGATACTCCCCACCTTTTCATAACACAGAAGGAAAATCTAGAGAGGCTGACACCAACATTCTTAGCGATGCTGTCTAAGGGGTGATCCATAGCTATTCTGTTTCCAGCTGCTGCTTAGGAGAAATTCTGTTTGCCTAATGCCAACTATGAGGGTGACAGCAATGGTCCCTGTCACAGTGTCACACCTGCCTCTAGTGAACCTTTCTGTAAGAGAGTGGTCAGAGCATCTGAAAGGACAGAGGGCAGAGACATATCTCTACTGTTGGTTGAATCATTGTGCGCCTACTAATGAACGTTTGATCAATAAATGTCTCTTTGTGTGGCAGAATCTGGTGGAATATTTTTTTTTTCATCACAATATGTTAGTAAAGTTCTAGTTTGAGGTTCCACCATCTTCAACTTTTTGGCCACTACTATTACCTACAAATTCAGCTAAGAGTTGTCCATGACCAAATTGATTTAGGTAAATTCACATACACATACACATACATGGAGAGAGAAGGTGTGGAGAGACAGGAGGGGGAAGGGAGGGAGTAGGGAGAATGAAAAAAATAGGATCAGGTAGCCCCCTAGTCTCTTCCAACTATAAATGTTTGCATTGAACCTTATCTAAAAGATGACTAGTGGTCGTGTTTGCATGCCAGCACTGACTTTGGGGGCATGAGCAAGGATGAGATTAGAGAATGAACCTTTGGGCTTATCTTTACAAAGTAAAAGAAATAAATTAATTAAGTGCTTAGTGAGCATCTTTAGTGAATACTATATCCAGGCTGCATCCCCAATCCCAGTTATTTCAGTCTCCTAAAATTTTAATTTTGTATACTCTCTATTCAATTCAGCAAAAATCACCCTTGTCCCATAAAGCAATGATCAGATAGCTGCAGTAATTTTTTCTTTCTTTCTTTCTTTTTTTTTTTTTTGAGATGAGTCTCACTCTGTCTCCCAGGCTGGAGTGCAGCAGCAAGACCTCAGCTCACTGCAACCTCTGCCTCCCGGGTTCAAGTGATTCTTGTGCCTCAGCCTCCCGAGAAGCTAGGATTACAGGCGCACGCCACCATACCCTGCTAATTTTTCTATTTTTAGTAGAGACAGCGTTTCACCATGTTGACCAGGCTGGTCTCAAATTCCTGACCTCAAGTGATCCATCCACCTTGGCCTCCCAAAGTGCTGGGATACCCAGCCGTGATTTTCTTAACAAACAACTGCCACCTGATGCAGATGAAGGAAGGTACCACACATCCTAAGATTTTATTTTCAGATTTTTCCCTAATATTTTATTATGAAAAATTCCAAATACACAGTAAAGTTGAAAGAATTCTACAATGAACATATATATAGCTGCCCCTGTGATGTACCAAGACCCTCTTACCATATTTGCTTCTATCATATTTATCCTTCTATCCATCTATCAACACATCTTTGGTTTTTTAATGCATTTCAAAACAGTAAGATAGTCAGCAGCACATTACTTCCTAGGCATTTTAATATGTATATCATTAACCAGGATTCAATAATGTTTATGGGTTTTTTCCCCGCCTTCATGGTAAAAGTTACATATAATGAAATGCACAAATCACTGGGAAAATTTTGACAATGCATACTCCTATGTAACCCAAACACTTTTCAAGATGCAGAACGTTCTGGAGTGATGAGGAAGTTCCCTCAAGCTCCTTCTCTGACAATATCTGCATCCTCCCACCATAGGCAATCCCTTATTGATTAAGCTTTGTTATAGATTGGTTCTTCCTGTCCCCAAACTCGATCTATTAGGAATCCTGAAGTATATACTCTTTGGGTAAGCTTTCTCTCATAACATCAAGTTTCTGCAATTCATTCAAGTTGTTTCATGTATTGCTAATCTGTTTTTACTGACCGCTTGGTGAGTGGCATACCATGATATTAACGGAACACAAATTATTTATCTATTCTCTCAGTGATGAATACCTGGGCTGTTTTTGCAATAACAGTTTCATAGTCCAGCGATAACTACAACTGCAACTGAAGGGTCAGAGGGTAGATATCTATTCAGTATTTTTCTTTCTTTCTTTCTTTCTTTCTTTCTTTTTTTTTTTTTTTTTGAGACAGAGTCTCACTCTGTTGCCCAGGCTGGAGTGCAGTGGCGCAATCTCGGCTCAATGCAACCTCTGCCTCCTGGTTTCAAGGGATTCTCCTGCCTCAGCCTCCTGAGTAGCTAGGACTACAGGCACTTGCCACCACCGCCCAGCTAATTTTTTGTATTTTTAGTAGAGAAGGTTTCACTACGTGGGCCTGGCTGGTCTCGAGCTCCTGACCTCAATCAATCCGCCCGCCTTGGCCTCCCAAAGTGCTAGGATTACAGGCCTATCTATTCAGTTTTATAGGAAATCAGCAGACCTTTCTTTAAAGGGGATGAACCATTTATATTCCCACCAGTAATGTGTGAGAGATACAGCTGCAACACATTCTTACCAACATCTGATGTTGTTAGTTTTGTTTTATTTTAATTTTAGCCATGCTGGTGGGTTTGAAATGGCATCTCATTGTGGTCTTTCCTGCTTCCTGTGAGTTGCTTGAACATTTTTTAGAATTCCATTGTAATTTACCTATGGTGGTTTTTAATGCATCTCTTTGTATAGCTTTTTGAACAGTTGCTCTAGGTATTATATTACATATGCATAATTTATCAAAGTCAACTGGGGCTGACATTTTACCAGTTCGAGTGAACTGCAGCACACTTAACTCCCATTGTATCCCTTTATCCTCTCTCATTTACAATAGGATTGCCTTAAATATTTCCCTTACATACATCAAAAGCCACATTAGACATTTTCCAAACTCCTTTACATCTTGGACTCTGTTGTGAAACCCAGTTTCCACCAAGCAGACACACCTGCATGAGATGACAGAGGCAAAAATGAATGCCAGGAGGTAGAGGATGCCCTTGGGCCTGCTTCTGCTGCCGTTTTCTGGCAAGCATGAACAAGGGATGTTATTTTCTTTTTGAGGCAGCTGTCGTTAGAGCTCTGAGTCCAGTCCCAAACTTCTCAAGTATCAAAAAGTATGGTTCTCGTCCTGCTTATACAGATCTCAGCAGATACAGCAGGGTCCGTAAGGGAGCAGCCACCCCATGGCTTCTTAACCACAGTTTCCTTGGTGGTCTGGTTCAATATGGTTCTCACCTTTGTCTCTAGCCTCTTAGGATTCTTCAAGGCACTTAAGAATGGCAATACATTGGCAGGGCATAGTGGCTCATGCCTACAATCCCAGCACTTTGGGAGCCCAAGGCGGGCGGATCACGAGGTCAGGAGATTGAGACCATCCTGACCAACACTGCACTCCAGCCTGGCGACAAAGCTAGACTCTGTCCCAAAAAAAAAAAAAAAAAAAAAGGAAATACATCTCTTTCTGTTGAAGCTCATGCATCCTCTTGTCTGTAACTGAACTCTAATGGTTATAGTCCCACAGCTAATTATTGGCAGAGCTGGGATCAAAACTCAGATCTCTGTTCCTTCTTCTGCGGTGCGCTGCAGAGTCTTTCTCTCAACAATGTTCTTCAAAGAAGAAAGAGTTGAAAGTCCCACATTCTATTTTGAGAACACACACTGGGAATGAAATGTTTGTATTTCTCTGTCACATCCTTTTCACCCTACATGTGTGGTCATCCTTGCCTGGGTGAGTTAAACCGCTGCTCAGGAATGAGACACTGTGGGTGTTTCTTAGGCAGCACAAAGATGACAGCAATAAGCATATCTTTCTGCCATGCCTTGCTACTGGGGCTGGATTAATCAAGACATTTGTTTCTTAAAAGACTCAACTCACCGCAGTAAACAGAGAAGGATGTAATCTGCAGTGGCTTCTCACACTTTATTGCATGTGGACAAACCCTTACTTATTTTTTATTTTTTAAGATGGAGTCTCACTCACTCTGTCACCCAGGCTGGAGTGCAATGGTGCGATCTCTGCTCACTGCAACCTCTCTCTCCAAGGTTCAAGTGATTCTCTTGCCTCAGGCTGCCGAGTAGCTGAGAGTACAGGAGCACGCCACCACGCTCGGCTAATTTTTGTATTTTTTTGTAGAGATGGGATTTTGACATGTTGGCCAGGCTGGTCTTGAACTCCTAGCCTCAAGCGATCTGCCCGCCTTAGCCTCACTCAGTCACCCAGGCTGGAGTGCAGTGGTGTGATCTCTGCTCACTGCAACCTCTATCTGCAAGTTTCAAGCGATTCTCTTGCCTCAGCCCCCTGAGTAGCTGAGAGTACAGGGGCACACCACCACGCTCGGCTAATTTTTGTATTCTTTTTGCTTTTTGTAGAGATGGGATTTCACCATGTTGGCCAGGCTAGTCTTGAGCTCCTAGCCTCAAGCGATCTGCCCGCCTTAGCCTCCCAAAGGGATTATAAACGTGAGCCACTGCGCCCAGCCAACAAACCCTTAGCTTAGAACTCAAAGATCTGGATGGACATTTCAGCTCAGCTACATCCCAGGTAGGGCCATTTACTGAACCTTTACTGAACGTCCACTCATCCAGCCCAGCTGGCTTCCTTGCTGATCTTCCAACAAGACAAGCACACTCCTGCCACGGGAACTTCACACTTGCAATGTCCACTGGATGGAACGTGCATCCTCTCGATATTTGTGTGCTGTGCACCCTGACTTCACTCTAGTGTCTGTTCAAAAAGCTTTCCCTAACACCCTGCTCCCCTGACTTACTTTCTTCCCCGTAACACTTAAATGACTCAATCTTATATACCTATTTCTTCACTGATTATCCCCTGGTGACTGGCACATAGCACGAACTCCATAAATCTTTCAAGAGTGAACGAATGCCTGCCTGCAAGTTTGACAGAGACTCGGGGTCCTCCTCTGTAGGCTGACCTCCCAAAGCTGACCTTGAACAACCGATGTAAATATGAACTGAGACTGGTTATATGAAAACCCATGATGGTGAAAACATCTGCTCGGCAAGTAGAGAGCATTTTACAAGCTTTATTGTTTCTAAGAAAAACTATTTTTCACATTCTAACATCCCTGAAGTCGAGAAAGTTTGAGCAATCACTGGAGACCACACAGCAGGGGTAACACAGCTGTTTCCACTAGTGCCTTCACCTCTTCGCAGAATGGGTGTCACAGGCTTCAGTGAAAATCCCGGAGACAATGAAGGGAGTCATTCTTTTAACCGCTATGAACCAAATGGTTGTGGGAAGAGGCAGGAAGAAATGGAGAACCAGATGTGTTTAGCAACATTCCTAGAAGCAGAGCCAGGAGGAGGCCAGCTCCACAGAGCTGCAAAGTGGGTTAAGTGTCGTCTTCACAGGATTTTCATAAGAAATGCTCCATGCTCATGATGATGCAGAGGACGGCACGATGTAGACAGATGCAGGAGATGACACTGAGTTGAAAAACAGATTCTGAAGAGTGAGATTCCAAGCAAAGAAGCTTTTGCAATATCTGAACCAATATATTTGCCTATACTTTTCTTTATGTGTAGGCATAGCAATAAAATATGACAAAAACCCAAGTCTAAAATAGTTCTTTCAATAAGCATAAAAGAAAGATTCAAAGGGATAAAAAAAAATTGTGCCATGATTTAATTAAAAGATTTCTTGGCTTTATGTAAAACAATGCCATGTCTTACACTCAGCAGCATCTAAGGTTAGGTGAATTTGTTTGGAAAAAAATTGAAAAACAAGACTCCAAAGCACTCTTGATCCCAGTCACTTCTCTATTGGTTCATCCATTGATCTAATTTCTCTGTATTTAATTCCCATGTCTATTTTGTCTATTTTCAAGATTGATTTACATTGCAGGTTCCGATGCAACCACTGACTTACATTGCAGGTTCTAATGTAACCACTGTCCTTAACGAGTACATAGATTTGTTTCCTTCTCTCCAGGAGCATGAGATTTGTTGCCTCCAGGAAAGGCAACAAATCTACGTATTCCTTAAGGACAGTGGTTCTCAAAGGGTTGTCCTGGGAACAGCAGCATCACCTACACAGTAGTTAGAAATGCACATTCTGAGGCCTCCCAAGACCTGCTAACTCAGACACTTGGGGAGAAGAAGGGGTTCCAACAAGCCTTCTAGGTCATTCTGATGCATGCTGGAGTTTGAGAATCGATGCTCTAGGAAAAACACCCAGTACTATCTACCATCAACTTGACCACTCAAGTGTCACCATTCACTGAAGTTTAACTACAATGTCCAGAGAATTAATTGTGTACCAGGCACTATGCGGAAGGCTGAATGCTGCCTCACAATCCAAAGTGGTATGTGTGTAAATGACTAAATAAAATGCAAAATGGGATGACATGAGGGCTGGCGGGGGTGCCAGAACTATGCTCTGTTCAAGGAAATAGAGGATTGATTCTGATCCAAGAGTCCCGGTGGACTTCATCTCTGAATTTTATAGGTGAAGAAGCTGTTCAGAGCCCACTGTGGTGCTCTCTTATTGATGGAGAGGCACAGTCCCTCTCCCCCAAATGCTGGTGGCCTGGAGGCGGTGTCTGAGCTGGCCTTGAAGAGTGAGTAGGAAACCCATAAGTAGGCAGAGGTCTTGAAGGACATTCTGAGTAGAGGGAAAAACAGAAACAAAAGCAGGGAAGTGTGAAAGCAATTATTTTGTTCTGGGAAGAGTGGGTAGCAATCTGCAGTAGTTTAGGTACCTTTTAAGCTTGTAGGAAAGGTTGACAAGGCATGAGAGACCTGGAGGGACAGGAGGGTGTAGCCCGAGAGTGGATTTCCACATCCGTGGTCTGAGGTGAGCAGCTGGCAGTGAGGACAAAGACGTTGACAGCAGTGTTTCTCACCCTGTAAGAGGAACATGGATTTCCTGGGATCTTGTTAAAATGCGGGCTCTGATTCATAATCTTGGGATGGGCCTGCAGTTGTGTCTTCTTGAGCAGCTCCCAGGTGATGCTGATGCTTTTTGTACCTGGATCACACTCGGAGTGGTCACGGCCTGGAGGGGAACGCAGGTGCTACAGGGAGAGTACCTGAAGATGCTTGGAAATGATGCCTTTACATTGCTGTCAGGATACATGATTGGATGGGTCCATGATGGTGTTTTCAGAAGAACGGCAACAGATGGAAAGGAAAATGGGAATTGGAGGCCAAAAGTTTTCATAAAGCAAAGGTGGAATGTGGACTTCTGCAGATGAAAAGGAGGTTGCTGGAAACAGAACAGTGCATCCACTGCAATTAGTCTCGGCAGCGCGTGACAATAAATTCCTGATAACAGTGGCTTAAACCAAAGGGACTTTTATGTCTCTCTCACATCCAGAAAGTCAGGAGGTTGGTAGTGTAGGGTGGAACGTGATTTAACAGTGCCATTGACTTCCCTGGATCCCAACATTCTGCTTTACCATCCTCAGCTCTAGGTTGAGGCCCCTCAGTGTCCAATATCATGCTAGAGCATCAACATCCTTGTTGCAGGCTGGCAGCCAAAAGTAGTGGAAGAGAAGGCCAAAAACGGGGACACATCTCAACAGCAAAAGTGATTGTAAGTGGATTCCCTGAAGTTCCATGGCCATGCCCAACTGCCACAGGGGCAGGGAGACAGTCATTTATCTGGCTGCTTTGCTCTCCTGAATGTAAGCAGAAGTCTGTTCCTAAGCAGAAAAGGGACAATGGATATAGGGAAGCAACATGGCAGTCCTTGCTGCAAGTGGAATCCATGGTGACAGCTCAAAAGGGGAGGGCACAATGAAGTAATCAGATTCTTAGGGGATATTTGAGTGTCGGCCTCTTGTGCTCATGGGTGTCTGAATCTACTTGTGTCTTGCGATTTTGCTAGTTCATTAGTGTGAGTGTTCCTCTCCTCTGTCATAAAAACCTGTCCCAATCCTTCTCATCTGCAAGAGCCGGCTCCACTGCCATCTCCTCCAATAACTGTGGCTGCATTTCACAGAGTTGTTCCAAAAAGTCAAGGTAAAGCACTAGGAACAATGCTTGGCACATATTATGTGCTGGGAACATAATAACCGCTTAATAAATGCTAGATATGAATTACATGCACTAAGACCTTGCATGGGTGCAGACACATAGTAGGCATTCAATATGCATTTGCTGAATGTAATCTGCAGCTTCTGGACTGACCTCTGCGCCTTAATTTTTTCCTGGGGCTCATGTGTCCACCACACCTACCATTCTCCAAGGCCCAGCCAAAAGCCAGAATCTAGCCCCCAGTAGGGACATTATTTAGATAAAACAACATTTTTCCACAGCCATCCTAGTTTTCAGGGCCTTGCCGAGAAATAGAAAAGAAAAGCAATATAAATGTTAATAGGAAATTGTCTATTCACTTTTACTTAGGCTAATCTACAGCAGACCAACAAAGAGGGAATTAGACAGTCGAAGGGACAGGAAAACACGGGACCTTGACAAGCTGAAGCCCAATGGACTGCAGTTTCTAGGAGGAAATGTAATTCCAGGCCAACAAGGAAGGCTACGTGGAAATCAGGACAAAGGGCTTCTCCTTGGGATGCCTCTATGGTGTGAGATAAGGTTCCTGCTGTGGTCCCTGTTATCCTGGGCATCCATCAAATTACAGCAGCTCCTGTCCCCAAGGACTACAGAGGCAAGAAAAATAAACCTATAACTACAATACAGTGTGAGGTAAATGTTACTAGATGTGTAGGCTCAAGATATTAGATAAGCAAGGAAGAGGGGCAGATTGCCAGAACAATGGAGCAGGAGAAAGATTAGGTACAAAGTTGTCTTCTTGTAGAGCAGAAGACCCTGAGACGGGGTTCTAAAGGGTGACTAGGAGTTACCCTGGCAAAGAAGGCAGGAAAAGGTGTTCCAGGAAGTGCAAACACCAGGTACAAAGACTAGAGTGCATGAGTTCATGTCCTTTGCAGGGACATTGATGAAGCTGAAAACCATCAACCTCAACAAACTAACACAGGAAAAGAAAACCAAACATCGCATGTTCTCACTCATAAATGGGAGTTGAACAATGAGAACACATGGACACAAGGAGGGGAACATCACACACCAGGGCCTATCAGAGGGGTGGAGGAAAAGCGGAGGGAGAGCATTAAGACAAATACCTAATGCATGTGGGGCTTAAAACCCAGATGACAGGCTGACAGGTGCAGCAAACCACTGTGGCACATGTATACCTATGCAACAAACCTGCATGTTTAGGACATGTATCCCAGAGCCTAAAGTGAAAAAAAAAAAAAAAATAAAATAAAAAAAGACTAGAGAGACACATCATGATAGACTAAATAATGCCCCCCAAAGATTACCTCCTGATAATTCCTGAAATTTGTGAGTATCACGTTACATAACAAAAAAGGACTTTGTAGGTATGATTAAAGACCTAGAGGTGGAAGATGATCCCAGATTATCCTGCTGGGCCTGATATAATTACAAAGGTCCTTATAAGAGAGATGCAGGAAGAGTCGGCGTCGGAGGGAATGTTGGTGTGATAATGGAGGCAGAAAGTGGTGTGATTCATTTTGTGGATGGAGGATGGGACCACAAGCCAAGGGATGCAGGTGGCTGCTAGAAGCTGAAAAGGGCAAGGGGATGGGATTCTCCCTCAGAGCTTCCAGAAGAAAACAGCCCTGTGAACACCCTGACTTTAGTCCAGTGAGACTGATTTTGGACTTCTGACCTTCAGAACGATAAAAGAGTAAATCTGTATTATTTTAAGCCACTAAGTTTATGGTGATTTGATACAGTAGCAACAGAAAACTAACATATATGTGTTAAGGTGTGTCTTCCAGAATGTTAAGGAAGAACATCAGAAAAATGAATTAGAGGAGGCAGGCTCAGGCCAAGTCATGGGAGGATCTGTGCACCAGCCTGAGTTTAAGTTTTATCCTCAATGTGGAGCTTCCACTAAAGCGTCTTAGCAGAGGGATACTAAAGCGCTGAATTGTCATATTTCTAGATCTTAAATCTTAGGAATGACCACATGTCTAATTATCCATTTTATTGACTCATTTCTTTTATTATAGACTGTAATTACTGTATAAAACAAAGTAATGATGTATACTGTATAAAACAAAGGAATATGGAAGGCTATTTTATGCCTCCAAATCCCACTCTAATGTTCTTGAAGATGCATACATGTATCTGCAGGGCTGTGACCCAGTACAAGCACGGGTGTGCAGACAGGGGAACTTACTGGAAATTGGGGATTTCTCCCCAGAATCCTGGCCTGATGATTGCTGTATGGCTACAAAGACCTCGTTCAAATGTCCCACCCTGCCCCAACTCCAGGAACGGGACAGGCAACCCATGCTCACCGAGTGCTCTCTTAGGGCCAGAAGCTTTGTGAACATTCCATCATTGAGCTCTCCATGATCCTTCTGGGCAGTACCCTCATCTGCCGGGAGCCTCTCGCAACTGAGCCTGATTCCCTGAGCACTACTGTTGCAAGGCACGACACTCATCAGTGAGGCCTGGAAAAGATGATAATCCACCTACACATGGTCCCTACCTACCTCCGCCCAATCTCTGTCTACACACAGAAAAGCACTGAAGGGTAAAATTCCAGCCGGCCTCCTCCTTCTCACTTACTCCTGATACACCAACCTTTATGCACTCACACACCCCTTGTCAGGGCCCCCGCCAGCTATGTCCTTGGCCGAATGTTGCTTGCTGCCAAAGGAATCACTTAGGTGGCCTCTAAGCAGCCCCGGATCTGACAAGCTGGGTCTGCTCTAGCACTGCTGCTAGACCCCTGAGGCCACAGCCAGACACGCAGAGGCTCTAAAGCAGTGCTCTGCCTGTTGCCAGAGCAGAGGACCCACACTAAGGAGGACCCAGGCACAAGAAACCTGAGCTCAAATCCTCACTGAGACATTTCACGGCTGTAAAACCTTGGCCAAGTCACTGTCCTTCCATCAAAACAGTAGGGTGTGGCCATCACCAACACTTGCCACCATGGTGCACCCCATAAATTAGAAAGCTACACGTCTCATGCGTCTGACAGGTCCCACAGCCACAAAGGGCTCTGTGGTGGAAACACACACAATACAGCACAACACAACACACACCTGGCAACACTGGGCACTGCTGAAGCCTCAATTTTGAGCTGTTTTCAACAGCGTTGTCATGAACAGATTCTTGCAGAGTCTGTTCCACCCCCTTCCATCTTTTCTTTTAGAGTCTATATTTGGAGACAGTATTTCCCTGAAAATAAAAGCATTGAGTTGAAGGGTCTATCATGGAGTTAAAGGATACGCACAATTTATGGTTCTTGTGATGACCTGGCTCTCTCCAGGAAGAGCGATGTTGATCCCACCAGTAAGTCAGATAAGACAGCACTGCTCACGTCTCTACTTCATTCCAGCATGGAACTAAGCACTTCAGTTATTCTTTTCCAATACCACACAATGCTCAGCCCCATTTCACTGATGAGGAAAGTGAAGTTATGGAAAGCAAAGCGACTTGTCCAAGGCAATGCAGTTATTTTGAGACAGAGCTGGGAGAAGAATTTAAGTCCCTAGAATCTTCCAACTCCATTGTATCTGCTGAATTATTCAGGTCTTTGAGTTATCCCACACTATTTCCACAGCTTTCATTTATTACAGATAACCACAGGCCAGATTCTAGACTGGCTACTTTATTATATACACTACCGTGTTCATCCAAGTCAATAAGGCAATAAACATGATAATGTTTTCGATGATGATAATAGCACCTACCTACTACTGAATGTTTAATACGTGCAGGCATTGTGTAAGGCACTTGCATTACTTTAACTCTAAAAATCTATGAGTTACCATTAACATGCCCAGTTTATAGATGAAAGAATTGGAGCTCGGAAAAGAAACATCACCCAAGAGTCCCACAGATGATAAATGGAAAACACATCCATCAATAAATGGATTTGAACACAGGGCTGGCTCCTAACAGTTAACTGCCCCGGTGGGCGACAAGAAAGAAGGTTTCTAAAGATGACAGTGAGAAAAATCAGCATTCCATGTTGGTTTGTCTTCCCTGCAATGTGCTGGCTGTGTGTCGTTTGATCAGTGCTGAGTTTATTTCAACCCCATCAGACTGGCTGCATACAAATGCATGTCTTTCTCTTCTGGGAGCTGCTTCCCATTATAGCAAACATGGATCACACGGCTCAGCCCACACCCCCACACAAGCCTCCAGGGTACCGCCTCCAATGGCCAAGAGGGACCTCGTCAGGGCCTGAGAACAGAGGGAAAGCTCCCTCTCATGGCACCATCTGCACTGCAGAGGAGGAAACAGGAAGGGGGAGCTCCTAGAAAGCAGCAAGAGTATCCTGGTATAAGGGGTGAGCTTCAAGGCTAGGAAAGAAGCCACAGGTTCAAGTCCCAACTCGGCCCATAACTCAATGTGTTACCTGGGGTAAGTCAGTCTTGGTCACAGGACAACTAATAAAATTATTAAACAAGTAACTTGATGTAATTTCAGATTCTCCTTCTGGAAGGGGATGGAAGAGGTTCTAGTAAAAATCAACTAAATCGCTTTAAAGAAAGGAAATGATTCAGCAAATCCAGACAGAAGATACCTGGGCCTCAGATCATTTGCATAGCTAACCTACCTTCTTAGAAGTTCTTTTCGTCAAAAGACAGAGACACATAAATCCCTGTGAATTGGCCCTTTTCTGCCCTCAGGCAGGTACAATCTCAAATTCTTCCTAATCCATGACATCTCAGATCCTGAAACCACTGCAGAATGAAACAGCCCTATGGACACCCTGACTTTAGTCCAGTGAGACTGATTTTGGACTTCTGACCTCCAGAACTATAAAAAAGTAAATCTGTATTATTTTAAGCCACTAAGTGTATGGTGATTTGATATAGTAGCAACAGAAAACTAACATATATGTGTTAAGGTGTGTCTTCCAGAATGTCACCAGAAAGCAGCCTGAAAAAGCAACCATCACCCCATCATCCAGTAAGAATTCTGTCATCTTCAGTAGATCCAGAACTGGCACGCGAGACCAATTCTAGCTGAATAATATCATGGCTACTAAAGATGTGGGAGGGAATGGGGAAAACATGCTGGCTTCCCTCTCTCACTGCCCTGACACTAGATGCATCTGTCAGGTGAGAAAGGGAGAGCTCCCGGGGCCACACCTGCCCCCTGGCACAAGCAGGCCCATCATTTTACTGTGAGTCCATTAGTAAAATACAGGGAGTATCCAGGTGAATGGGAAAAACATTCAACCTCCCTATAACAAAATTTATAAAATCAATGTTAGCTTGCCAGGGATCCTCTTTGACTGTAACTTAGAAAGTCTCAAGGTGTTAACAGCTGGAAGTGGTTATTAGGTTCCTAAAATCCTATAGATGGGGTTTGTGGCTATATTTCTGATGCAAAACAACCAAGACTGTCCAAGCACACACGCATCATGCTCCCTCCTTTCTCCAACTGCTCTGGCTTTGCAGCCAATCTTACTCCCTGGTCTCAGTTCTTTGGAATCAAGGGAACTTTCTAAAATATCAAGCTGCTTTAGAAAAGTGTCAATTTGTAAATTCTCCATTTGGCCCTGTCTACCTGCAAAGATACAGATAAGTCCGGGGGAAGCAAAAGAAGAGGATTTTGTGTCTCTTTTTAGTTTCCAGATGGAGCTGCCTCCCACAGTCGACCCACACACCCAAGTGGCTGATGTCACTGTTATGATTTTAGTAGCACTGTGAGGGCCCTGGGGGCGAGAACCCCCATAAAAATCAACAATATCAAGCACATCTGAGAAAGCCAGAGAGAAACTAGGGAACCAGAGTGTGCTTAGCTCTGGAAGTGTCTGCAGAATTGCCAAGCAGAGACCCAGGATATGGACATCTGTGCACACACACAGGATGGAACGAGCCAGGGCCTTAGAGAGGATGACACTTGACCAGGCTGACGATGTCCAAGCTGCTGAGAAGGATCCAGTCCCAAATATCACCCAGAAGGACCCTTAGGGAAAATTCCCTTGGCCACTGTGTAGAATGTCAGGCTCAGGACTAAGAAAGCACCTATCCCAGAGGAGAAAAGAGTGTTTTCAACCAAGCTTGGCACTGTCGTGAGTCCAGCCTCCACGGACTGAATAGAAGTTAGGAGTTGCTGATATGGAGCTGCTATTGGAGGGAGGGAGGGAGGGAAAGAGAAAAGAAAAATCTAAGGGATATGACAGTGCACTGGGCACTGAGGCTGTCTATGGGGAAAAGACGCTCTGGAAGGGGGTTGTGGTGGCCAATGCGTAGACAGAGACCCTCATACCCAGCCCAGCCAGAAGCCCTCCTGAGTGCCCCTCGCCATAACACAGACATTACATGCCTGCCTGAGGCATTTCATACCTTCAGGTGATTGTCCTCATACTATGTTGCTAGGGCGGCCCTAACAGAATACCAGACTATGGGGCTGAAACAACAGGAACTCATTCTCTTAGAGTTCTGGAGGTTGGAAGTCTGATATCAAAGTGTTGGCAGGGTTTGTTTCTTCTTTTTTGTGTGTAGGAGACAGAGTCTCGCTCTGTCGCCCAGGCTGGAGTACAGTGGTGCTATCTCGGCTCACTGCAACCTCTGCCTCCCGCGTTCAAGCGATTCTCCTGCCGCAGCCTCCTGAGTAGGTGGGATTGCAGGCATGTGCTACCACACCAAGCTAATGTTTGTATTTTTAGTAAAGTCGGGGTTTCACGATGTCGGTCAGGCTGGTCTCGAACTCCTGACCTCGTGATCCGCCCGCCTTGGCCTCCCAAAGTGCTGGGATTACAGGCGCGAGCCATCACCCCCAGCCCAGAGTTAGTTTCTTCTGCGGCCTCTCCTTGGCCTGCAGCTGGCCATCTTCTGCTAGTGTCTTCATGGGGTCTTTCCTCTGTATCTGTGTCCTAATCTCTTCTTCTTATAGGGACACCAGTCGGATAGGACTAGGGCCTACCATAATGACCTCATTTTACTTTAATCACCTCTGTAAAGACCCCATCCCCAGTCACATTCCTGGGTATCAGGGGTTAAGGCTTCAACACAACTTCGGACATGGAGGGGCGCAATTCAGCCAATCACAGTCATTACCACTTTTATACCACTGAGCAAAATGAGACACACAGGAAGTAAGTGATTCTCAGAAGCCACCCCGCTCATCTGCAGCAGAGCCAGGTTTAAAATCCAGACCTCCAAGACCCTGAAAACACGATCCCACCACGCCACGAAGGTGCCTAGACCTGTGAGGTTGCTGGCGTCAGGCCCTGTTTTACAAATAAGAGAGCCAAAGCTGAGGAAGGTGAAGGAACTTACCAGAGGGTCATGGATCTAAAAAGAGTGGCACTGGGACTCATATCTAGGGTCTATCTAGCTTTACCCCTACTAGTCATTTGCATTGAATGCACGCCAAGACTGCACTTGGATTTAAACTCATCCTTGGTGAGGCAGTAGCGCGCTTCCTTCATAACTCATTCTCCTCTAT